>NC_000010.11:49082489-49234004 GCF_000001405.40 Homo sapiens | reverse complement strand
AACGGATTGATTCATTGATTGACATCAGCATGGACTCCTGTATCCTTGTATTATTCAACCCATTATCACCCATTACTATTATTATTTATTTTGATGTTCTATTTTTCCCAGATTTGGCCATTGAGAGCCCTTCATGCTGAATCTGGTGTCCTTTAGACCTATCATTAAATTTTTTGAGCACTTTCTAACTTTCCAGCACACAGTATGTTCTAGTCTCATCTTGTACATTCTATACTCCAGCCCTGGAAACAGCTATTGTACCAAGGACTGCTGAGTTCTTTTGGTAGAGATGGTTTTTAGAAACGAAGATCTGGATGCCAAATGTACTCAGTGCTATGGAGGCATCACTGTTTCCAGTGGTCCCCGCTAGGAACTGTTTTTACAGACCTCTGTACAAATACCTATATTTACACGTCCACCACACATATGCATGGCTCCATATCTAGTTAGCTATTTTGTGTGTGTGTGTGTGTGTGTGTATCTGTATCCATATCTCCATCTTTACATTGGAACTCTAATTTCTAAATTTTAATAGTCTGTATTTTCTCAACTAGCAGATACTAAAAATGTAACTGCTTTCAAGTGTTTGTGCCTTACATATATTTATTTTTTAATTTCAATAGCTTTAAAAAGTGACTTTTGGTTACATGGATAAATTATATAGTTGTGAAGTCTGGGCTTTGAGTGTACTTCTCACCAGAATAGTGTACATTGTACCCAATGGGTATTTTTCACCCATCATCTCCCTCCCACCCTCCCCCATTCTGAGTCTCCCATGTCAATTATGCCACTCTGAATGCCTCTGTGCACCCATCACCTAGCTCCCATTTATAAATGAGAACATGTGGTATTTGACTGAGTTACTTCATTAAAGATAATGGCCTTCAGTTCCATCCAAGTTGCTGCAAAAGGCATTATTTTGCTCTTTTTTATGGCTGAGTAGTATTCTATGGTATATATATACCACATTTTCTTTATCCACTCATTGGTTGATGGGCACTTAGGTTGATTCCATATCTTTGCAATTGTGAATTGCACTGCAATAAACATACATGTGCAGATGTCTTTTTGACATAATGACTTTTCCTTTGGGTAAATACCCAGTAGTGGAATTTCTGGAACCAATGGTGGATCTACTTTTAGTTCTTTGAAAAATAATCATACTGTTTTCAATAGAGGTTGTACTAATTTACATTCCCACCAGCAGCATTCCCTTTTTACTACCTCTGTGCCAACATTTATTGTTTTTCAACTTTTTAATAATGGCTATTCTGGCTGGGGTAAGGTGGTATCTCATCGTGGTTTTAATTTGCATTTCTCTGATGATTAGTGATGTTGAGCATTTTTTCATTTTTTTTTGCCATTTGTGTATCGTCTTTTGAGAAATGTCTGTTCATTATATTTGCCCACATTTTAATGGGATTGTTTTCTTCTTGTTGATTTGTTGAGTTCCTTGTAAATTCTGGATATTAGTCTTTGTCAGATATATAGTTTGCAAATATTTTCTCCCATTCTGTAGGTTGCCTGTTTGCTCTGTTGATTATTTCTTTTGCCTTGCAGAAGCATTTTAGCTTAATTAATTAGACACCATTTACTTATTATTGTTTTAGTTACATTTGCTTTTGGGATCTTATTCATAAATTATTTGCCTAGGCCAATGTCTAGAAGAGTTTGTCCAGGTTTTCTTCTAGTATTTTTATTGCTTCAGGTCTTAGATGTAAGTCTTTAATTCACCTTGTGGAACTCTAATTTCAGTCTAACACCTCATTTATCTTTCTCATTTTCTCTATATTTAACTCCTTTACTCTGACCGTAATAAATGCATCTCCCGTTACCCACAACTTGGTTCTTTGTTCAATCAACTAATTTGAAGTTTGGATATTTTATGCAGTGGGTATCCGTTTTGTACACTTTTATTTGTTGTTTGTATTTGTTTCTGTCTGTGTCTGTCTGTCTTTTAGAGGTTGTTTTGGGAGATTTGGATTTAGTCATCACCATCATGTTGACCACTAGCAATAATTTCTTAACACTATATTAATAACCTGTGCTTAATTTTCCTTGATTTTCTATAAAGAGGCTTTTTATAGTTGACTTGCTCTCACAGGATCCAAACAAATTCTACATGTTTTGTTTGGTAACAAGTCTGTAAACACTATTCAGACAAGCTCCAATAGTGCCCTTTTCTCATGCTGTGTATTTGTGGGAGAACTAGATCATTCGCTCTGTGGATTCTGGATTCATCTGACTTTGTTGAGCAGGCATCACTGAGCTTGTTTCTCTGGCTCCCAGGTTTTCTTTACTTGGAAGCTGGACCTAGATGCTTGCTCGTGCTCAGGTTCAGTTTCATTTTGGAAAGAGCCCTTGGCAGATGGTGTCATGTCCTTCCTATTGCATCATATCATAAGGAGCATGGTGTCCGGTGGTCCCACTCTGAATGATGTCTGATCAACTAATGGATGTGTAACACTGATGACTGCTGTCAAGACTCATTGCCTTCAGATGGCAAAAATGTGATTTTCCAATTCTACAGGAATGACATTCCATCTCTTTCTACATTTTATGTAACATTGTAATATACTTGTAATTAAAAATATAAATACATAAGAGTGAAAGTCATACCAATATTAGTAGTAAGCTAAGGCCAAATAGCATTATCCATGTGAAAGATTTTTAATCTAGTTTCCCAGAAAGCCTCCTGACTAATTCCTCCTGAGAGTGCACTGACGTCTCCAAACTCTGAGAGGTTTATTTTAGGAATGTGTGTGGCCAGTTAAATCCCCTCAGAGAAGAGAAAGGAATTAAAATGCACACACCCCATCATGCAACAATTCCTCTTTAGGTATTAGGCACGGTGAAACAATGATCTTTCTCAGGATAATGGCTTTCCTAGCCTTGAAGACAGAGTGATTTGGTGTGTCAGTTTAAAGGTAAGAACCAGGAGAGATGTACAGGATATTCATGGTAGCAATGTTTGCAATAATTAACAGCAACAACGTAAAGGTAGTGCGGATGGGGGAAAGACACATTAAATGTAATCCTTGCAAACATAAGAACATTGTACAGCAGGCAAAAAGCATAGACTTGAGGCTACCTGAATTAACATGGATAAATCTCAAAACCCAATGTTAAGTGAACAAAACCAAGGTATAGAAAAATGCATTTTTTGCCAGTTATAAAAATAGAAACATGCCTAACGATATGATTTATTATCAATGGTTATATATGTACTCATCAATATATATAACTAAAAATAAGTTGGAGGCAATAAGAAAATTATAATAGAGATAGCCACTGGTGGAGGTGATGGTAATGGGACTTAATTTTAACTAAAATGTCCTAACATTGTTTAATAGAGGGAATTAATATAGTACCTGTGCAATTTAAAAAAATATGTAAGCACAGAAACAAATGAAAAAATATACCAAAATAGTTACAGTGGTAGGTTCTAGGGTTTGAAACATGAGTCATTTTTCTTCTTTGTATTTTTTAAATTTCTAAAAATTAAAAAGAAGGGCAGAAACTTGCTTGGCAGCAGCAAACAGCTTGTTCAAAAAAACATGTGCAGCAGATCCCTTGAGAGAGGACGGCTCTCACTGCAGCATGAAGGCTGGACGTCTGCCACTCTCAGGTGTAAAGATGCTTGGGAATCACTCATGGCAGGTGGAACGGAATCTCAGCAGCTTCGCCCAACACCTGTGCACCTTTCCTGTCCCTCTCCATCTTTCCTCCCGGGCCCCTGTTCTCCTAACAAGGACCTCTTGTTAGAGTCAAATAGTTCATGCAGTGTTTACCTAACCAGCGGCACACCTTCCCATTGATGAGTCTTTGTTCTCAGAGATACCTCACCTGGAAGGCCCTCCCCATTCTCCTGGCTCAAATCGGCTCCTCTGTGAACCTCCCCTCTGAATCCCTATGGCAGGTGTCATCCATGCCTCTACGCATTTCTTCTATACCTATTATAAAATAATAATAAAGTAATAGCTACTGCTTATTGAGTACCTTGATGTCAGATGCAGGTGGAGTTAATAACCAGGCCATTAGTCTGATGGAGGGCCAGAGAGAGGAGAAGCCAGGTAAGGGTTGGCAGGGTCCCAGCCCACAGGCCTTGGCTAGGGAGGGCTTCCTCTGCTTGAGGAATTCCACAGGCCCAAGAAAGCCAAACAGAAGACGGTCTATTTGACATAATCTGTGGAGTCACTTTGGGGAATATGGGAGGAATTCATTTTCAGATGTCTAGAAGGGGCTGGTTTATGACTTGCCCATTGGCTGGAAAAATTGTCCTCTTGAGGATCACTTCCATGCTGACCCACAGAGGACCCAGGACTCCAGCAATAGGGAGAAAGGACCAGACCCTAGCATCATCCCGAACTCCTCCCGCCCAGCCCAGTTCCACTCCCCGGCCTGTGTGACTCCACTGGTTCACCCCAGAGTAACCTGTAGCCCGCTGGCCTCCCCTTCAAGGAGTGGGCCTGGAAAGCCTGGCTGCCCGGTCACCACGTCCCTCCTGTCCCCAGCCCAGGTGGGCCACCATGCAGCTTTCTGTCCAGCAGACATGCTGCTTCTCAGCCTGCTGTCCAAGTCTGGGTAGGTGAGGTTCCCCAGGGTCTATGCTCCAACATCCTCCTTTTATACCATCTACATCCCATCTTCTACTTCCTGTGCCTAGAGATGACATCAGGTCTCTTTCTCCTTTAAGTCTTGGTTCATCTTTCAAAGCATTCACCATGTTTCTTGTTTCAAGGCCCCAGATTCTCAGCAGCTTGGTGGGGCAGGGCTGAGGGACAGGCGGGCAGGGTTGGATTCAGACCCTAAGGTCTGAATAAGCTCCTGTCTAGGGTTCTGCCTATTTGTCCAGGTGCCTCGGGTGTCCTTTGAGCTCACACACACAAAAAAAGAGCAACAGCAAGCACGCTTACACACACACAAAACCCAAAAATGTGTGCGCGCGCGCGCGCCCGCCCGCGCACACACACACACACACAGCGCAAGGGCAAAACTCTCCGACAAGGCTGGAGATTGCTTTCCCTGTGTAGACCAGTGGGTGACGGGCAGGGATGCCCTAGGAGGCTGCAAGAACATGCCTGGAGGGCAGAGTTTACCTGAAGCTCAGACTCCCTGGCTCAGCAGGAGTGTGGCTTACTCCAGCTGCCCAGCCTCCTGCCGGCAGCTGGTGGCATCAGCCACTTATCGGGAAGCTTTGGGAAAGGCAGTGCATTTGAGGGAGCGTTGGGAATGCCGTCATCTTCCGGAATGGATGACGGTGGAGTTTGCACGTGGCTGGTTTTATTTTTACCCTATGTTTCTGGAGAAAGCCTAATGGCTTCGAGTGCTCCTCTCTGTTCGTGAAATTTAAAAGGGGGGAAGGAGCGCACATAATTATAATCCCACAGCAGGGCCATTGGCTTGCCTCCGACTATTAGGTCCCATTAAAGATGTAATATCTGTGGTGTCTCAGGAGAAATTCCTACTTATTTATGCTTAGTATTAGGGCAAATATTAGTTAGCATCAAAACAGGATGCAGTTAAGTCTAATCTGATGTCACCAGCAGAGCTTGCTTTATAAACAAAATAAGTGGCAATTACTTTCAAGCTGAAGTAATAATTTTTTCAAGCGATTCCACTTTGTGTTGATCAGAAGCATCCGCCAAAGGTAGGTGTGTTTCAGGAAATGTGCAGGGTGTGCTTTTTAATCACACTTTATTTAAATGCACAAATGAAGGCTGTGAGGCTGGCTTCTCTGCCTTCCTTCTCCCTAGGTTTCCCTCTGGGATGGTAATTAGGAAATACAACCCAATATAGGAAATGAGCATTGTTGCTTTTATGAGGATTTTAAACCAAATGGCTTTGCTACGGTAGCGGAAGGAGCTTCTCGCCCTCAGAAACCCAGCAGGTTGTTCCAGGTTACTTGGTACTTCTTGCCTTTTGGAAAATGGCTCCTTGGCCTCCTGCAAGGCATTCCTGAGAGGAAGGTGGGAAGGCCCCATTGAGGTCCTAGATCCCCATGGCTGAGGAGTGGGGCCCAGCACTCAGCCGGACAGCAGATGCCCAGGCTGGCTGTGCAGGTGGCAGTCCTGTCCCCTTCAACCTTGTCATCTTCCCTGGCAGCTATCGGCTGCACGGCCTATTTCTTTACCCTAGACCCTAGCAGCTGGGATTCCAGAATATTCTCCTGAAGTACAGAGTCCTTAACCTAGGCTTGTTTGCCAAGAACTTTCTCAGGTTGTCAAAGCTTTCACCCCAGGGCTCTCTCTTTGCCTTGTTGAATGTGCCCGTGTAGCCTGACCACGTCCATGCAGCTTAGAGACCCAGCAGTGCCCCCAAGAGGGTTTGGATTCTGAGGCCTGCCCTGGGCCCCAGATCTCCACCCCAAACCAGCACCTGTGCTCTGTACCCTGCACACTTGGCCCAGGATGGCTGCTCTGAGGATTTATGCCACAGACCCACAATGTTGGCTACTTTCCTGCTGTCTTGTGGGACATACAGGGCAGATTTCCAATCCACCACGACAGTTCTCACAGAGGAAACCAAGAGCCTTTCTTGCCAAACTCTATATTCCTCTAAGTGGCGAAGTTAAACCAACAGCATCGAAATGACCAGGGAGCTGTAGGAAAATATGCCTGTATGCTCAGAGACCTCGGGAGCTGTAACCCCGCTGGGGGACACTCAGACACCAGGACAGTCCATCAGATCTGAGCCCTGAGGCAGCCCCATCTGAGTGTGCGCTCCTCACATGCACTGGTTCCAACACCATCCTGTTCTGGCTCCTCCCATTTTTTCTGAGGAGGTCTGGGCCATCCTGAGCCCTGTTCCACTAGCAGGTTCAGGAACTCCAGGACCAATGTGTTTTTCAACAAAAGTGTGACAGGAACCCCTGCTCCCCCATTGACCCCTCTAGCCTCTAGCAAATTCCCTTCTCTCCTGTTTCACAGGCAGCTTCTTGTGAGGGTTGTGGACTTCCCCGTCATCCCCACTCTCCTTCCACCTGCTCTCTAGCTCACTGAAGTCTTCCATCTCCCCATCCCACTGAACCTGTTCTCACCAAGGAAAAAAATCCCCAGGTGGAACTGCTTCAATGGTCAGGGGACACATTTCAACCTTGTGCTACTTGACTTCTCTGCTGCATTCAACACTCACTGGGCAGCCCTCGCTTCTTGCTTTCCAAGGCACCTTCTCCCAATTCTCCTCCAACCTCCTGGACCATCCCATCTCAGTCACCTCTGTTGGCCTCTTGCCAGCCTTATTTCTGAATGTTGGTCTTCAGGCCATCTCCTTGCCCCATCTTTGCTTTTTGCGCTTTTAGGCAACCCATCCAACATCTTCCCTTTGATGCTCTGATACCCCTGGAATTGTTGCTGCGAAACTAGAGCTTTCTCCTAAGTTCTGCCTGGGGATCCCACATCACAGAGGGCGAAGGCTCAGGACAAAGAGAATGGCCACACCTCCTTCTTTTCCTGTGTTTCCATTCAAAATAAATGGCCTCACCATCTTCCACTCACTCAAGCCAGTGCCCACTCCCCCTCCTTCATGCCCTGCATTCAACCCCTTCCTCACCTTTCTTGTTATCGCACCAAAGGTCAGGCCTTACCCTCTCGACTGCACCTGCAGTACCTCATCACCTGCAAAGTAGCCTCACTCTATTGCACAGGGACTCTCTCTTTCTCTCTACATATATTTTCTATATATTTTTGAAAATAAATATTTCAATGCTAGGCATTTCACCCTAAATACTCTGCAAGGTCTCTTCTAAGAATAAGAGTGGGGCAGTCTCTTGCAGTGGAAAAGGACTGGGATTGATAGAAAGGCCTGGACCCACAGCCGACCTGGGCCAGTTGCTGAGCCCCTGTTGACTTCCTTTGCAGAGTGGGGCTCTGTGCATTTCTCTGACCCACAGAGTGCTGCGGGGCTCTGTTGTTAATGTGCCTGATCCATTGGAGCTGGTCACACTGGAGCTGTAGGCTTCTAGTTCAAGCCCCACCAACTTTCTTTTGCAGCTTGCAGGGGGAAGGCAGAAAACCAGCCGGGGGCAATGGCCAGCACTGAAAAGGAGAAAAAGGGAGGCCTTGTTAGTTTAAGTAATGTGTCCAGAAGATAAATCTTGTGAGAAGGTCTGTGTATGGTTATGCATGTTTGGAAATGTTTTGGGTGTCATGTTGGCTTGGTAGGAATAGAATGTCATGATACAGCAGAAACCGGTGGATTTCCACAAACACATCACAATCAGCAGGAAGAGAGTGTCTTGGTCAGCAGGACAGCAGGAGATGCAGGGCTGATAAAGAGGAAGAGCTCCCAGGCTTTCCCCACTTCAGAGAGGGAGGCCTGGGTGGAGCTGGGAGCAGTGGTGCTGGAGACAGAGTGGGCTCTCTTGGGGAGGGCTCGGGCATGGACTGAAGTGACACTGAGCCTGTCAGCTAAAGATGGCCCTGAGCTGTCCCTTGGCCACTGTCTGTGAGTCATTGAGTAACGTGAGTACATGTGGCCCGGCCCGCAGTCTCGTCTGCATGGAAGGAGACCTGGTTGGAAGCTGCGGTGCTCATTTCCTGGAGGCTCCTCTGAGCTAACTCCTGCTGGCTCCAGGGCAGCCTGTGTCCGACCACCCCTTGCCCACCCTCTTAGCACCGAGCTCCTAGGTCCAGCACATTTTGCTTGTTACCCTTCGATTTACATATCTGACAGTCACAACATCTACTTGAGAACTATTTTAGGAGCCCTCTGGTGTTATCAGGAAGCAGCAGTAACATAGCGGAGCTGCCGGGAATTTTTCCCTGGTGTTTGTATAGGAGCCCACCTAGGGAGCATTTCAACAATCAGTGGGGCTCTCTTCTTGCTGATGATATCATGGTCCCATGAGACCATAACCCCCAGAATGGGAAGCTGCCAAATCAGTAGGCCACCACTTTTCGATTTGGTGCTCAAAGATTTTTGGCCAGAGGAACCTTATCAAGTAGAGATGGTCCCTAATTTAAGATGATTTGATGTAAGATTTTTTGACTTTATGATGGTGCAAAAGCCATATGTATTCAGTAGAAACAGTACCTTGAATTTTGAGTTTTGATCTTTTCCTAGGCTAGTGATATGCAGTATGATACTTTTACATGAGATATTCAACACTTTATCGTAAAATAGGTTTTTTGTGTTAGATGATTTTGCCCAACCATGGGCTAATGTAAGTGTTCTGAGCACGTTCAACTAGGCTAGGCTGGACTGTGATGTACAGTAGGTTAGGTGAATTAAATACATTTTTTTTGAGACAGAGTCTCACTGTGTTGCCAAGCCTGGAGTGCAGTGGTGTGATCATGGCCCACTGCAGCCTTGTCCTCCCAGGTTCAAGAGATTCTTGTGCCTCACCCTCCAAAGTAGCTGGGATTACAGGCATGTGCCACCATTCTCGGCTTATTTTTGTAATTTTTAGTAGAGATGAAGTTTCGTCAAGTTGGCCAGGCTGGTCGTGAACTCCTGGCCTCAAGTGATCCATCTGCCTTGGCCTCCCAAAGTGCTGGGATTACAGATATGCACTACCACACCCAGCCTAAAGGCATTTTTGACTTACAATATTTTTTAACTTAGATGGTTTTATTGAGATGCAACTCCATCATAAATTGAGGAACATCTGTATCACATTGTTAGAGTAATATTTTCTTGGCCACAGATGCCAGCACCATGCTTCCTGTACAACCTATAGAACTGTGAGCCAACTAAATTTCTTTTCTTTATAAATTACCCAGCCTCAGATATTTCTTTTGAGCAATGTAAGAATGCAAGAATGAACTAACACAGAAAACTGGTACCAAGGAGTGGGGCATTGCTATAATGATACCTGAGAAAGTGGAAGTGGCTTTGGAACTGGTTAATGAGCAGAGATTGGAAGAGTTTGGAAGGCCCAGAATAAGTCAGGAAGATGAGGGAAAGTTTGGGATTTCTTAGAAACTGGCTACATGGTTGTGACCAAAATGCTGATAATGATATGGGGAGTGAAGTTCAGGCTGAGGAGGTCTTAGATGAAAATGAGAAAGTTATTGGGAACTGGAGTAAAAGTCATCCCTGTAATGCCTTAGCAAAGAGCTTGGCTGCATTGTGTTCATGTCTAGGGATCTGTGGAAGTTGGAACTTAAGAGTGATGACTTAGGGTATCTGGTGGAAGAAATCTCTAAGCCCCAAAACATTCAAGATGTGGCCTGGCTACTTCTAATAGCATATGATCAGATATAGGAGCAAAGGAATGGCTTACAGTTGTAACTTGTATTTGAAAGGGAAGCAGAGTATAAAAGTTTGGAAAATTTGCAGCCTGGCCCTGTGGTAGAGAAGGAATCCAAGCAGCCTTTGGAGTAACCACTTGCTAGAGAGATGTGTACAACTAAGAGGGAGCCAAGTGCTAACATCCAAGACAATGGGAAAAAGGCCTCAAAGGCATTTCAGAGATCTTAGAGACAGCCTCCAATCCCAGGCCCTGAGGCCTAGGAGGAAAGAATGGTTTCAAGGGCCAGGCCCAGGCCCCCATTGCCATGAGCAGTCTTGGGACACTGCTCCCCACATCCCAGCCACCCTGTCTCCAGCCTCAGTTCAAAGGGGTCCAGGTACAGCTCAGACTGCTGCTCCAGAGGGCACAAACCACAAACTTTGGCAGCTTTCATGTGGTGTTAAGCCTGCAGGTGTGCAGAAAGCAAGAATGAAGGAGGCTTGGCAGCTTCCCCCTAGATTTCAGAGTACTTATGGGAAAGCCTGGGTGCCCAGGCAGAAGCCTACCACAGGGGCAGAGCCCCCACAAAGATACTCTACTAGGGCAATGCCAAGGGAAAATGTGAGGTTGGAGCCCGAACAAAGTCCCCACCAGGGCACTGCCTAGTGGAGCTGTGGGAAGGGGGCTGCTGCTCTCCAGAGCTGAGAATGTTAGAGCCACCAGCAGCTTGCACCCTAAGCCTGGAAAAGCTGCAGGCACTCAACTCAAACCCATGAGAGCAGTTACAGTCACTTGGACTGTGCCCAGGGAAGCTATAGGGGCAGGGCTTCCCAAGGCCTTAGGAGCCCACCGCTTGCACCAGTGTGCCCAGGATATGGGATATGGAGTCAAGGGTTATTTTGGGACTTTAAGGTTTTACGTCTGCCCTGCTGAGTTTTGGAATTACATGGGGCCTCTTGCCCCTTCCTTTAGGCCAGTTTCTCTCTTTTGGTATGGGAATGTTTACTCAGTGCCTGTACCACTATTGTATCTTGAAAGTAAATAATTTGTTTTGATTTTACAGGCTCATAGGTGGAAGGAGCTGAGTCTCAGATAAGACTTTTGACTTTGGATTTTGATAAGTTAAGACTTTTAAGGACAATTAGGAAGGGACGATTGTATTTTGCAATACGAGAAGGACATGAAATTTGGGAGGCCAGAGGTGGAATGATATAGTTTGGATATTTGTCCCCTCCACATCTCATGTTGAAATATAATCCCCAGTGTTAGAAGTGGGGCATGGTGGGAGGTGTTGGATTAAGGAGCCATTCATGGATTAAGCCCTCATGAATGGCTTAGTACCATGCCTTTGGTAATGAGTGAGTTCTCACTCTGAGTTCATGCGACATCTGGTTGTTTAAAAGAGCATTGCACCTCCCTGGTCCTTGCTGTCTCTCTCACCATGTGACATGCCTACTTCCACTTCAGCTTCCACCATGAGTAAAAGCTTCCTGAGGCTCCACCAGAAGCTGAGCAGATGCTGGTGCTATGCTTCCTGTAAAACCTGCAGAACCGTGAGCCAATTAAAACGCCTTTCTTTGTAACTTATTTAGTCTCAGGTATTTCTTTATGGCAATGCAAGAATGGAGTAACACAGTCACCTAATCTTAAGACTGGAAGGGCCTTCCTTTAGAAATCACCGTGTCACACTGGGGCTCTGAGATAGATTTTAGCCTGCCCAGAGCCACTTAGTAAGGCAGCAACCCCAGCAAACCCACACAGATCCCCTGTTAGTCCGTGATTCTGGTGTTCCTCACATCTCTCTAAGTAGAAAGTGACAGGGCTTCAGGAGAACATATTATGTCAAATGTGGCCAGAAGGTCTGGAGAAGTATGTTTGTTGGCCACCCATCCCATTTACAAACAAGGAAGCAGGAGAATGCAGTGACTTTCCAAGGGCACACAGCATGCGAGGGAGTCATTCCATTAATGCTGTGACTGGAGGACACTCTTCCCACAAACAGCACATGGGGCATGGAGGCATGGGGCTAGACAGAATGATGGGAACCTGCAAACACAGGCATGGTGTCCTCCCAGGGTTCTCTGAATTGTCCTTGCATCTACTCTCCAGCTCCCCAGGTCTGGGTTCCTCTGGTGCCCTGCCTGAGCCCACGTACCTAATCATCTGGCTGTTCATGACAGTGATGGTCTGACCTTCAAGCGCTACCCTCACTGGCTGCTCTGAGGCTCACAGTCAAATTCTTGGGCCATGGTGTTGAGTGAGAGAGCAGACAGACATTCTTATGCTGCAGGAGGGGCACAGAGTTGTGGGAGCCTAAGGGGGTTTTGTATCATGACAGAAGGAAGTCACCTGCATCAGGTGGCAGAAGTCCCATGGCATCTCCGCTCTGGAGGGCTAGCAAAGGTGAGAACAGATGACTGTTTATCTCAGGGGCAGAGGGCTGAGGACTAGTGACCCCAAGCTTCTCCCCAGACTGAAAGATGCTTCAGAAGACTCCCAGAGCCTCAAAGCTAGGGGGGAAGATGGGAAGGGAAATGCTGAACTATCAAGGTTCCAGTCCTGGCTCCCTAGCTGGGTCTCCCCAGAGCTGCTCTGATGGAGTTCCTCAGGCTGGCTGAACTCCCACTGTCCTGGCCACAGTCCGTCCCATGTACCAGTCTTTCTGCCAGCCCCAAACCGTCTTGTACTCCCAGAGAATAAAGCTTGTTTCTTTTGAGGTCCCAGAGCTGTAGGGGTGGCAGGATAGGGGCATGCTTTTGAATGTGGGTGGTAGCATCACATAGAAGTGGGTTCAAATCCTGGCCCCACTATTTACTGCTGTTTGGCTTGGGCAGTCAGTATAGTCCTTACCCTCAGTTCCTCTGTGTGCAAATGGTGATAATGATAGTCTACACCACATTGAGCTGTCATGAGGGCTAAATGGCATGAGTGCAAAGCCCCTGGCACTGTGCCTGCTTCAGAGTACAGAGCTTGGCGGCTGCAGTGGTGACCACGACCAGCTTCAGAGACCTATGGAGCTTTAGAATCTTACAGACCTGAGGTTGCCCCCCAACTCTGCTATGTGTTAGTCACCTGCCCTTGGGTAAGTCCTCTTCTCTCCCAGCCTCAACTTTCCATTTAATGGTTGCCCCATAAATACCTTTCCCACTACAGGCATTCTGCTACTTAGGGGAAATTTTGAGATGAGAGAATGCACATAGAATCTTGCAACTGGGACAGTTTAAAACAACCACTTTTTCTTTAATTTTGTGAAACTTGATGCTCATGTTGATATTAGATAAGATTTGGCCGGCTAAAATCGAAATAATAAATTAACCACATTGGTCACATGTATTGGGAGATACTCATTCAAGTCCATCAATGAAGCTTTTAAAATTCAAATTCAATATGAGTATGTTCAGATTATTTATTTATTTGTTTACTTATTTTTGGTTTTTGAGATATGAAATAAGAGTTCAAGATTTGACCATCACTGAAAGAAAAAGTATATATAAAAGACCTGGCATAGAGTTTGAATTTTATACTAAGACTACATAGGCCAGTGTTGAAGTGTTTATGCAGGGGAGTAACATGAGCTGATTCATGTTTCCAGTATGTTTATGCATTACTGTGGTTGCTGGGTGGAGAAGAGATCATACAGGGGAAGGAGAGGAGCCAGGAGAGGAGTTGAAGGTATTGAGGTATTGAAATAGCTCCAGTGAGAGGGGTTGATGACTTGGACCAGGGAGGTCACCATGAAGATGCCAGCTATGGGGTCTGTTGTGATGCTCAAGCATGGTATATTAAGGATAGCGGATCAATGTGTGCACCTCCCAAATTAGGGGTTGGAGAAGCTAGCTGGGTAGATAATGAGGCCAAGAGACAGGCTGAGTCTCTTGGGATATGGGGGATAGTCCCCTTTCCCAATACACCCCATAGTTTCCCAAGGCTTGGTAGAGCATCCCAGTTTTTTAAGGTGTGCCTGGTGGGACCAAGGAGTTACTAGAGACATAGACACACTACAGGCCAAGAGCAGGGAAGGGGCCAGCCAGAAATTCTATTTTCCTCCTGCTAGGTTTCAGATGCCAGCTGGAGATGCAAGTGGAGAGATCAGAAAGGCAGTTGGGTATGGAGCTTTGCAGGCTGGAAGTGGGGATCGGCTTGTGAGTAAATATGAGAACCAATAGCATTTGGAGGAAAGCATAGGTGAGACTTGGAGAAGAAAGACCAGAAATATGCTTTGGTGCTAATGTTCGTAGGTTGGGTGTAACAGAGGAAGACAGCCAATGAGGCTGAGAGGAGAGCTGTGGGGGGAGAGGAGGAAAACAAGCAGAGAGTGGTGTTTACAGGAGCCAGGACAGGCTGTGGCCAAGAAAGAGCTGTGGCCACTGTGCCGTTCAGGAGGCAATAAAAAGATTTGACTCTAGCCAGGTTTATGGTGACACTGACAAAAGGAATTTCAATAAAGCAACAGAGATGCATGCCCACCTGGAGTGAGTTGAAGAGAGCAGAGCAGGTGAGACAGTGTAGATGGCCTTTGAGAGAGGTTTTGCTGATATGGAGTGGAGAAATGGGACAGTAGCAGAGAGAAGGAGGAAAGCCAAGGGGATTCTGGTTGGTTTTCAGATGAGCCCCTAGAGCATGTGTGCTGTTGAGTGATCCAGCAGAGGGGAGAGGCTGATGCAGTAGGAGAGAAAAGGGTGGCAGAAGAAATTAAAACCTTCAGAAGATGAGTGGGGATGAGACTGAGGATGCAAGAGGTGGAACCAACTGTTCACATGAGGCAGGGCACTGTGAGGGGGACTCATGAGACACTCACCAGCATCCTTTTCTTCTGTGCCATGTCCATGATACGGGGTTGCCCTGAGCTGCAGTGGCACTTGTCACATTGAACCAGAGAACACAGAGGCCAGACTCTGGGTCCAAGTGCTACTTTATGAGTGCACACTGGGAAATCCTTGAAAGGAGATGTAATCCAGTCTCTGGCTCTCCCCATTCCCTCCACATGGGTCTGCAAAGACCCTCCAAACTGAGGTGCCCCCGTCAGTCAGGGCATGTTGGGGACACTCCACTGTCTGCATTCTCCTGATAAAGTTCAGGATGGTGAATAGAGAGGACTTGTATCACACTTTCTGCCATGTAGCCCAGCAGCAAGCTAGTGACATCTACTGTGCTGTCCTGGGACCACAGAGAGGAGGGGTGGGGAGGCATACCTAGTTATGACAGAGTTAGGGATAGTCCCCTTTCCCAATACACCCCATAGTTTCCCAAGGCTTGGTAGAGCATCCCAATTTTGTAAGGTGTGCCTAGTGGAACCAAGGAGTTAGTAGAGACATAGACACACTACAGTGGGTCTAACCAGCGTCTAGTGGCTGAGATTAGGGAATACACATACAGTATTACAGCTGGGACAATTTCTACAAGGAACTGGCTGGAGATATGGCTGAATCAGTAGTCTGAGATTCCCAGGGGGCTACCAGGGCCTGCAGATCAGAGAAGCCATCACTGAGGGAGCACCCATCCTACACTGTCTATGCCATGGACAAAGTGGGATGAGTCCTATTTAAAGCATGAGGTCACCAGAGACCTGATAGAGATGGAAACTAAGAAGAGGGCATCTTCCTCCTTTTCTCTCCTCTGTTGCCTTATAAACTTCAGAGTTATCATCAGCCCCTGGAGCAATGAAAAGCCATGAAAAGGGAAGAAGTCCCGAAAAGGGAAAAATCCTGATATAAATGAGTTTTAAATCTTAAGTGACGAGAAATCATACAAAGACTGAATTTATAGGAAAATGAATCAATTAAGTGTGTATAAAAGATAGGATGGGGTAGGGAATCAAAAATTACATTGAGTTGTAGAAAAGAAAGTTTCCTTTTTGCACACCTGTGCTGGGTAACTTTCCTTTGCCCCCACCCCTAGTTGTCTTGCTCACCCTTCTCCACTACTCCCTGCCCAGGGAGGCTGAAGTGTGGGGATTGTATCAGTGGTTTTCATCTGGACTTGGCCAATGGAGAGCCCTGGGAGGGAAGACAGTGAGGTCGGGATGTCAGCTCTCAGATGCCTCCTAGCAGTTGTCCTGAACTTGTTGCCTTTCACAAGGCAGCCGTCCTTCTTATAAGCACTCCTTTCTCTCCTCCCTTCAAGCCTAGGTTGGTAACAGTTCTAAAATACTGGGTGACATATTCTGTATTAGCCTATTGGGTCATTTTTTTTTTTACCTGTGTTGTTCAATCTTCTCTTTTCTTACTGAGTTTTATGATCTGCTTGTTTTGCCAGTTACTGAGGGAGATGTTTCAAACTTCAGCGTGCAGAAAGGAGCGCAGGAAAATAAAAACAAAACAAAACAAAAAAACAAAAAAGAGAGAGAGAGAAAAGAACAAAGAAGTAAAACAACAGCAACTCCAAGTAAGTACTGTAGAAACAAACTGAAAGTAGGGCTAGAAAAACAACACAGGAAGTTCAAGACCAGCCTGGGCAACATGGCAGAACCCGGAACCCCATCTTCACATACACACACACACACACACACACACACACACACACGATACATAAAACATTAGAAAATAAAAATGTAAACCGTTGTGGTGGCACGTGCCTATAGTCCCAGCTTCTGGAGTGGGGGTGGGGGACCGGAGGTAGGAGGATGGCTTGAGCCCAAAACATTGAGTGACCCTGTCTCAAAATAAATAAACTAACCAACCAACAGTAAACATAATAACAAATAATAAACGACAATAACAATAAACAAGTGGGAGAGAACAAAGGTAAGACCTCGGTATTTCCTCTCTCTCTCTGTCTCTGTCTCGCTGCATCTCCTGTAGTCTCAGCTACCCGGTTGGGGGGCTGAGATGGGAGGGATCACCTGAGCCCAGGGAGGTTGAGAGGCTGCAGTGGGCCGTGATCACACACCTGCACTCCAGCCAGGGTGGATTTGCCTATTTCCATTTTAGTTTTGTCAATTATTCTTGTACATATATTGAGGCTATGTGGTTAAATGTAAAATTTTAGTATTATTTCATCCTTCTGGTGAAAGTTTTCTTATTATCAAATGTCCCTCTTTATTTCTAATAATGCTTCTTGCCTCAAAGTCTGATATTAATATGACTTCAACTTTTATTTTAACTTCATATTTGCCTGACACATCATTTTCCATTAAGAAACTTTATTTATTTATTTATTTTTAGAGCAATTTCAGGTTCACAGCAAAATTGAGAAGAAGATACAGAGATTTCACAAACACCCTTTCCTCAACTCATGCATTCTCAACATTGCCACCATGGTGCATTTATTATAATTATCAACAACAAATTGTGCATTTGTTATAATTGTCAAAAACAAATTACACATTTGTTACAATTGATGGACTACAATGATACATCATTATTACCCAGAGTCCATAGTTTATATTAGGGTGCATTCTTGGTGTTTACCTTCTGTGGGTTTTGATAAATATAGAATGACATATAGGCACCATCATAGTATCATAAAGGATAGTTTCACTGCCCTAAAAATTCTTGAAATTCTCTGTGCTCTGCCTATTCATTCCTCCCTCTCCCCAGCCCTTGGCAACCACTGATCTTTTTACTGTTTCCATAGTTTTCCTTTTCCAGAATGTCATATAGCTGGAATAATACAGTATGCAGGCAGCTTTTTCAGACTGGCTTCTTTCACTTAATATGCATTTAGAGATCCTCTATGTCTTTTTCAACATTTTATTTTAAACTGTTCTGAATCATCCAAAGTGTGTCTTTTGTAAGTAGTTATCTCCCTCTAGTCTAATGATCTATGTATTTTATTGAAATATATATTATGTTTAAACTTACTGCATATGCAGAGATATTTACATTTATAATTACCCCTTTGTCACCCTTTTCTGTTTCTGCCTGATCCATGTTCTATTTTCTCTTCTTTCTTGCTTCCTTTGGATTATAATTATTTTTAATTCTTCCATTCTTTCTCCTTTATTAGCAAGTTTCTTATGTATTATTTTACTAATTTTAATGGTTATCTTGGAGATTGCAACAGGCATCACTGACTTATTAACATCTAATGTAGACTGATATTTTTACCACTTTCCATACAATGTAAGGGTGTTATTCTTCAATTCCATTTACCCATCTGCCTTATGTGCTTTTGCTGTCATGCATTTCAATTCTACACCTATTTAAATCCCACAAGGCATCATTATTATTCCTTTACACAGTCAAGAGTTATTTATGTTTACTCACATATTTCCTCTTTCTGTTGTTCATTATTCTTTTTTGTTTGTCTCTCTGCTCCTCTCTGGAATCATTTTCCTCTGACAAAAAAAAAAAAAAAAAAAACCTTCTAGTATTTCCCTTGGTTGTCAGCCTGCTGGTGACAAATTCTCTTTGTTTGCCTGAAAATACCTTTATTTTGCTGTTATTTTTGCTGGATCTGGAATTCTAGGTCTGTAGTTGATTTTCCTTCAGAACTTTGAAGATGTGGTTCCATTACCCCCTGGCTTCCATTATTTTTATGGAGAAGTCTATGTTTGGTTTTACTGTTGGACCCTTAAGGTAATCTAACATTTTCCCCTCTCTAACTTCTTTAATATTTTCTATTTGTCTTTGATATACCACAGATTTACTTTGATGTGTGTAGCTGTGGTTTTCTCAGCATTTATTCTGTTCCGCTTAACCTTCTTTTGAGTCATCCTTCTTTCCTACGTTAGAGATTGGAAAATTGAGCTAGAGCCGGTGTGAAGGATGGCCTATGGCACCTGAGGCTTTGGATCTTTTGGATCAGTGCTGACCAGTCCCAGCAGGCCCTCTGATGAGCTTACATCTCACCTCCCTCCACTCGCTTCCCCCTTGCTTCTGGGGTTCCAGTACAAAGTGTAAACAGGTATATCAGATCTGGAATGGTTTGGCGCTATGATCTGAATGTGTGTCTCCCCCAAGATGCATATGTTGAAATCTTAACCCCCAAGGTAATGGTATTGGGAGGTGGGACCTTTGGAAAGTGACTAGGTCATGAAGGTGGAGCCTCATGAATGAGATTAGTGCCCTTATAGAAGAAGCCTCAGGGGGCCCTCTTCCCCCTTTTATTAATACGATGTGAGGACACAGCTAGAAGTCACCATATATGAATCAGAGAGTGAAACCTCATCACACACTGAACCTGCTGGTGCCTTGATCTGGGACTTCCATCCTCCAGAACTGTGAGGAATCAATGTCTGCTTGTAAGCCACCCAGCCTATGGTGCGGTGTCACAGTAACCTGAATGGACTAGGTCACTGGGGTTAAGAAAAGTTTCTCCAGATCATCACCATGCTCAGACTGGTGGGGAAGGTATCAGACTCAGCGCTACCCACCACTATTGATTCTCCCTTGTTAGAGATATTCTAGAAGAGTGGCTAAGATCCAGCTACCAAATCAGATCACCTGGGTTTGCATCCCAGCTCTGCTGTCCTCTCCCCTACCAGTTGTGTTACCTAAGGAGGGTCATGCAGCAATCCCTCAATTTCTCATCTGGAAAATGGGTAGTAATAACAGTGCCAGCTTGTGGTTAGCACTACTTCCTAAGTGAGTTTTTTCTTTTTTTCCTTTGAGGAGCAAATGAGTTAATATTTAAGTCATTAGAACAGTGTCTGGAATAGAAGCTCTCTATACCTGTTATCTGTTGTGTTGACTAAGTGAGGAGACTTGTCCCTGCCTTCAGAGCACATGCTGTGAGTGGGGCTGGTGAACGTGGATAATGACAGATCATGTAGCGTGCAGGGGGCCTAAAGGGAAAATGGTTCCAACTGGAGCAGCCAGGGTCTCTGTGGGTCTGGGTGCCAGCAGAGTGACCCCCAGCTCTGGCTGCTGTGTGCAGCACACAAGGAGAGGCCCAGCCACTGAGCCAGCTTTTCAGGCAGGTTGGTGAAACACTTCAAAAGAAAGAGGATTCTGTTTAGTCCAAACAAGATCATGGGAGCAGAGGTGTGTGCTCCTCACTGTCTCAGCACTAATAGTCTTAGCAGCCATTTGGCTTCATTTCCACATTCACCAGACACTACAACTCTCATTCTCCCCTCTAGCAATTAATAGAGGAGACATCCAGAGCTATTTCAGGGAACACGAAGAGCCACTCCAAGTGGCCAAATTGTTACCAGTATGCTTGGAAATACAACATGGAAATAATGCTCCATTCCAGGGCAACTGCCCTTCTTGAAACACCCAGGAGACAGATGTTATTGATAGGTTAATCCCTTCACTGACTTTTTAAATTATGTTTTTACTTTGGAGCATCATGGCATTGTGAAAAGCTCAGATTTTGGAGGCAGACGGGCCCAGATTTGGATTCTAGTTCCTGCTGTGTTAACCTGGACCAATTCTGCAGCCCTCCCAACCCCATCCCTCATATCTTCAGCTGGTGCCTCCTGGCACTACTGGAAGGACTTCAGCTGGGCCGTGTGGGGAAGAGGAGCTCATTGCCCCACCAACTTTGGGCAGATGGCTCACCCCATCCCCCTGCCATGAAAACCTTGCATGATTCCAGATTCCGATTTCCCAGGAACTTGCATTTTCTTGACCACTTCTGCCTTGAGGTCTTAAATTCTTTTGACAGGGTGAGGGGTGTGGGGGGGTCTCTGTGCATTGCACTGATGCAGGTGTGAAACTTAATCCCTGCTCTGAAGCCACAAAACACATGCAAATGTGGTTGAGAGGGGTTAGGGAGATTAGATAGAACACCACAGTGTAAAGAACTTAAATTGCTTATTTGATTCCTCTTTTTCAAAAGTTCCCTCCATGTGCCTTCCACAAAGCTTATTGTTGGCCTGTCTCCACTGATGTCCCCATTGTCTTATCACTTCTCCGTTTCTTCTCCTCCCTCCTCCCATCTGCACCAGATAACACAGGGACTTCAAATTTTTCTCCCCAGAATTCACATCCAAATCATTTGGGGGCTCAGCAGACAAAATGGGCTTTTATTAGACAGCATTCTCCTTTCTTTCTTTCTTTCTTTCTTTCTTCCTTCCTTCCTTCCTTCCTTCTTCCCTCCCTCTCTCCCTCCTTTTTTCTTTCTTTCTCTTTCTTTCTTTCTTTCTTTGTTTCTTTCTTTCTTTCTTTCTTTCTTTCTTTCTTTCTTTCTTTCTTTCTTTCTTCCTTCCTTCCTTCCTTCCTTCCTTCCTTCCTTCCTTCCTTCCTTCCTCCCTCCCTCCCTCCCTCCCTCCCTCCCTTTCTTTCAATGGAGTCTCACTCTGTCACCCAGGCTGGAGTGCAGTGGCATGATCTCGGCTCACTGCAACCTCCACCTCCTGGGTTCAAGCGATTCTCGAGCATTCACCTTTCTGAGAAGACCGCTAAGAATATAGATTGCAGAGTTCTTCCTGTTTTTGTTGGAGTTGCTTTTATTTGCGCTTCCCCCCCAAGCAGAGCCTTGGAGATGATGCCAGGAGGCAGGAGTGAGGGAGTAGGGAGAGGGAGGCAGGAAAAAGCCTGTGAGATATGTATTAGCAAGACAGCTTCTGTAGATGGTAGAGACTCAGCTCTGCAGGAACCTCTGAGAAGAGTCACCCAGAATTGTCTGTTTAAAACCCACAAGTTTGGAGTGTGTGTCTACTGGCTCTAGGAAGCCACAGCTTCCCATATTTCCAGGCAGCACATGAGCTGAGTGAGATGCTGTGCTTTCAGAGAAAGCTCAGAAGCAGAGAAGCAAAGAGACCGAAGGCTTGTACCTTGGGATATGTTAGCATGTGTGCTAGAAACTGTCCACTTGCTGTGGCTCAAACTGGAGGTGCCATGCTGATCTGGAGTGAGACACTTACAGCAGGTACCACGCAGCAGAGCATGTGAAGGTGCCCAGCTCAGTGCCTGTCACTCAGTGGAAAGTCAACATCCTTTCCTCCACTCCCTCCTTTCCTCCACTCCCTCCATTCCATCCTGGGACCCTTCCTTCTGTCTGGCTCTCCATGAGATGTTGACAAGGCCAGGATTCCAGCTGGGGCTGTTTGATTTAATTTCAGTGCCTTCTTTCCATGACCTCGGCAAGTATTTGATCAATTGAAGAGGTGAAACAAAGATTGGTTTCCGTTCTCAAATTGTTGGTTTGCGTCTCTGGGAATTAGATATTTGCTAACTCTGGTGAAAAGAGACTAGAGAGCAAAGATCTGGTAAGCGAGTCTCTGTCTGTAACAGCATATCAAATTGAACTTGTGTTTTTCTTTAAGTGTGTACTGTTTCAAGAGAGAAAATGAACAGAGGTGGGGTGAGAACCATGCATGGGAAGGAGAGAAGGATGAGAGAGCAGTACCTTGCCACACGGCGCATCCTGAGAGACAGACAGGATGGGCGGGTGACAAACCTGAGAACTATTTCACATTGGTTCTTTCAGATACATCACAGACTAGTTTTCAAGCGTGGCCTCTACAGAAATGAAATTCAGGGGAATAAGCTGGTCATAAGGAAATCATAGGATCACTGTAACTTTAAACTCCTGAGCTTGAATGATCCTCCCACCTCAACCTCTGGAGTATCTGGGTTTACAGGTCTGTGCCACCATGCCCAGCCAATTATTAAGATTTTTTAGAGACAGGGTCTCTTTATGTTGCCTAGGCTGGTTCCAAACTCCTGGTCTCAAGCAGTATTCCCACCTTGGTCTCCCATAGCGCTGGGGTTATAGGTGTGAGCCACCATGCCTGGTCTGATACTCCTTTAACCTCATTGGCTTTCACCCATGACTGCTCACCTACTTTTCTAGACTTGGCTCTAAGTGAACTTTTACTCTTTTCTCAAATCAAATTCACTTTTGAAAGGAAAAAATTGGCCTCCTCGGAAGAGAAGCAGAAGTCACCCTGACATGGGGCTGACAAGGCATGGGGCTAAGAGAAGAGCAACCAGAGCCAGGCCGCCATTGATGGTGTGATACGGGCAGGTCCTTTCCTAACCCCAGGCCTCACCTGCTCCAGGCCAGTGGACCTGGTCACACTCTAGTTCTTCTCTGACCTACTAGCATGTGCATTCTCCCTTGAGGGGTTTTCATGAAAATCATTTTCTTGGGGAGTCAGCAGGCCCATGGGCGATGGAACACAGAGAAGGCACTCATGGTTTTGAGACACCACAGAAACCAGTTGCAAGGGGAAATGCTTTTGAAGGTGAAGGATGGAACATGTTTGAACTATCAAAAGATTTTTTCCCCAACCCAACTCAACGTTAGAGGCCAGGATAGATGTTACCTCCATCCTGAAAGCAGTGGAATTCCCATATTGTCTCTTGTCCTAGATCCACACCCAGAATCCCTTGTTACTCTGAGTAGCACTCAGGGAAATCAATCCCACAGAAGGCTGGTTCCTAACTGCTGATACAGACAGACTCTTCACTTTTGGATCCACTCTTTGTATGCAGTGGTTCTTCAAAACATCAGAGCTAAAGGGATTTTTAGACAGCCCGGATAAATCAATATGGTGGGTACTATGGTGACTCCTTTTATGAACAGGCTTTGAAATGCTAAAGATCTTTCTAGTGCGGTCCCAAGTAACCCTGAACCACTCTGAGGAACACAGCTTATACACTCTTTAGTCTAAATTCTATCATGGGCTTTTGGCCAAAAGCAATAAGATCTGACCCTAGCTGCAAGCCCTTTGTACACGGAGCTATATAATAGATTTCTTTTTTCTTTTGTGTAATTTTGTATATGCTGAAAAAAAATGATCAGATAAAATTATTCAATGCAGTGGCTTCTATTAAGTCCATCTTGGAACTGTTATCAATTTTCTTCCTAATGGGAAAATAGATTTTCAGAAAAGGTGAATCAGGTTGTTCCCAACATCTGCTTATTTGCTCATCTGTACGTTTTTAGTGGCTACCATTATAAATGATGTTTCTGGCCAGGCATGGTGGCTCACCCCTGTAATCCCAGCACTTTGGGAGGCCAAGGCGGGTAGATCACCTGAGGCCAGGAGTTCGAGACCGGCCTGGCCAACATGGTGAAACACCCTCTCTACTAAAAATACAAAAATTAGCCAGGAGTGGTGGCAGGCACCTATAGCTTCAGCTACTTGGGAGGCTGAGGCAGGAGAATCGCTTGAACTTGGGAGGCAGAGGTTACAGTGAGCTGAGATTGCGCCATTGCATTCCAGCCTGGGTGACAAGAGTGAAACGCCATATAAAATAAAATAAAATAAAATAAAATAAAATAAAATAAAATAAAATAAAATAAAATAAATAATGCTTCTGGAGAGCAGCAAAGACAATGTGAGTGTGGGGTCCCAAGGAGAAGGGCTTCCTTGCCCAGGCTGAAGAATGAAGAATTCCCTGTTTGTTCCTGTGAAAGCCTTGGGAAGGAGGCAGAGGCCTGAGGGCCAAGTTTTCCTGGAATGTCCACTCGTGGACTTCCACTCCGGCAGCTCTAGCAGGAAGAGCCCTGGCTTCATCATGGCTCTTTTTGGGGGTCCATAATCCTGGATTCCACACCTTACCTGGCTTTGCAGCTGCATGGGCCAGGACATAGTGGAGTGGCGGAATGTGTCCTGCCCACTGTGTGCCTGCTGTGCTGTCACTGGGGGCAAGGATGGGAGAGATGGAGGGAACAAAGGAAGAGCCAGTGAGGGGGCTCTGCTCCCATGCAGCCTGAGAGCCAGCTGTAAGCCCCATGTGCTGCTTGACTACAGGGCCCAGGAGTGGGGTTGGGGGAAAGCAAGGCCAGGTGAGGATGCAGAGTAGCTGAGACCAGCATTCTGCTGTCTGTGTCTGGAGAGAAGGCTGTTAGTGCCCAGGCTGTAGCCAACCCTGGTGCAGGGGGTCCATGAAACCCCTTTTTCACTTGATGAGGGGTGTAGGGGTATAGGAGATGAGAGCTAGGCCGGACAGCTCCAAGAAGGCCACCACAGATCTAGAACCATTCCACTTGAGAAGCCGAGAGCAGGGACAGCTGGATTTGGGGCCAGGAGGACTCAGAAGGACGGAACTACAGATGAGGTCTGCTTCCGATGCACCCAGGAAGTCAGGGAGGACTGAGGCTGGGAGAGTTAGGGTGAGGTGTTCCTGTGTGTGCCAAACACTGTACTAGATCCAATAGCAAACACTCCGCCTGTGGCACACATGGGCCGTGCCACCTTGCAGGTGCCCGCTCATTCAGTGCCAGGCACATCTTACTGTTCTCATTAATCTGATCCTACAGATGAAGAAACTGAGGCCCAAGGAAGTTATGTGACAGGCCCAAGGTGACACTGTGTATAAATGGGAACACAGAGTCTGGGACCCAGGCAGGCTGGCTTCTGGGTGGAGGTCCTAACCATGCACTAAGAGCCCTACTAAAGTCCTAACCATGCACCAAGAGGCCACCACGAGCCCTGCTCCTAGGCACAGCTGGTAAGGGATACAGCCAGGACCCAAAGCCATTATTCTCTGCTCCAAAGCCCAGGACCCCTCTAGAATCTCAGCCCCAGTAGCTTAGGACAGAGCTAAGCATCCTCTGTTTTTTCCACAGCTGCTCCTCCACTAAGCAAACACTGCTCGCTCTCTCCTGCCTGTCTATTTTTGATCCTGGGCTCTGCTTCCTCCCTTAGCATCCCTCCCACCCCCAACTTTAATTAGAGCTCATGATCCACTCAAGAGCTCGTTCTGTGCATCAGCTCCCCCGGCACGAGCTGCTCATGTCTCTAGGCTTCTTGCAGCGAAGATGACCGAGAATAGGCCCCACAGCTTAGAGCACAGGTGATCTGCCAGACAAATCTCTGGGGAGAGCAAAGGATAAAGCCACGCCTGTACCACAAAGGCCATGCTAGAGGATAATGTTTGACCCTTGAGAAAGCCCTTCCCAACTGCTCAGAAGCAGGCAAAGCTCAGAGCAGGATGTGACAGGACTAAATTCCAGTGGAAATGACAGAGGATGTAGATACGTGGAAGATAATTGTCCCGATTGGGACCTAAGGCAGAAGTTTGGCACAAATGGAGCTTGCATAAAATAAAATGAAATAAAATCTCGAAAGCAAGGGACAAATACACGGAGCTTAGTGCAGCTCCATGACTTACATACAGCTGCTGCACATTTCCACCGAGGTTGGATTTAGGTTTCCGTGGGCAGAAGTCACTGCAGGGCTGAACGCAGGGATGGTTCTCCTGGAAAAGCCCCACCTGGGGCCATCTGACCCGTCAGATGGCACGTCCTGCCAGGGGCAGGCATTGAGTAGTGACTGAGCTGGACCAGGGCTGAGGGCTCTTTTAGAAGTGGGATCACTGCTGTGACGTTAATAAAAGTTTGAAAAATACAGAAAATTGAGAGGAGGAGACATTGATCCTCTCCTAGGCATACAGCCCAGATACAGCTATTATTGTCATTTTATTATATTTCATTGCAGCCTTTTTCTTCGCCATGTATTTTTGTGAGCTTGCTGTGTAAACAAATTTTGTACACTGTCTTCCCCCCAAATGGGCTTCTCCATGTTATTACTTTGTAAAAATTACCTTATTAGTTGCTCTATATCCTGTCAAGTGAGTTGGAATGCTCCTCTTTGAACATCTGAGTCATTTCTGACTTTTCACTATTGTAAGGACGTTTGTACATAGGGTTATTTTCCATATTTGAGGTTACGTTTTTATAAAATACCTACAGAAATATAGTTCACATATCAAAGAGCACAGTTATTTTTAAAACTCTTGTTAAAAATTACCAACTGGCCCTCTCAGTGTGACAGTCTGTGGGCCTCCCTAAGATTCCACCTTGCAGCGTAGGCTTTGGCTTCTCTGCTATTTTCTGATTCATTCAATCATTCATTTATTTAACAGTTATTGAGTCTCTGCTGTATACCAGGCACTGCTGTGTGTGCAGCAGAAACAAAAATGAATCGGACACATCCCTGCTCCTTGGAGAACTCTCGGTCCAGAGGAGAAGATGGATGACAACACAACATGACGTGTGGGGTGGGGGGAGTTGTGTGCCATGTATGGTGTCTTTCTGGACAGCCCTTGTGGAGACGCCTGTGGCTAGGCTCCCCCTGGGGCCAGGATCCCATTCCCTAATTCCAGTGTTCCCAGGAGCACCTCCCACGCTTCTCCTTTTTCCAGAATCCCTCTCCTCTTGCCCGCTGCCCAGCACGGATCCTCATATTCAGGCCACAAGATGCTCAGATCTCCTGAGCTGATAACTGTGTCTTCAGCTTCCTATCCATGCCAGCCCTCTTCAGACAGACCATGTAGTCAGATTGTCTGACCTATTTCATCTCCTGCTGCTTCTGTCTTTTTTCTCTGTAGCCCAGGATCTCCTGTACAGGTTGCCTGAGCCTCTGAGCTCTTTTCTCCATACATCCCAATCAGTCCTGAGTTTCTCAGCCTCCTGCCTGGGATGCAGAGAAGATGCCTAAGTAGAGGCAGCAGCACGGTGCTGGAGACATAGAGCATTTCCGCCATCCCTGTGCCACTTGGGTGGTCTTTGGGAAAAGATCTGGGCAATGGCCCTTCAGAGAATTAAATAAATGCAAACAATTCAGGGAACAGAAGATTGGTTTTTTTTGCAGCTTCGTTAGGTGCAAGCTGTTGGTCTGAAGTTCTAATGTTATTTTCATTTTTTTCTCTGTCATAACCTGTTTTGAGGTAAGAACAGTTCATACAGTTTTTTTTTTTTTTTTTTTTTTTTTTTTTTGCCAACTTTTGCACAGAGGCAAAGTTGATACGAAGGAAGTCGTTTCTCCCAGAGGACAGTAACAGTAACATTTTAGCTTGCCTCTAATTACAGCCACCATGACAGTTCATATGTTGTAGCAATAAAAATAACCATAAACCTTACATAATCATTAAAGTTAAGCAAACAGCCCCTCACTGCATCATAATGTACAGGTAGTTGCTAATAATCCAGGAACAGCATTGGGGCATTCAAGGAACATCTTTCCTATCTCCACAGTTTCTTAAACAACTTTAGAGACATATTTTTATTAAGTATATGCAAGGCAGATGATCTTAAACCTCAAGAAGAGCGTGCATAATAATTGTGTACTCTTCTAATGCTCTCCGAAGACCTATTCAGAGTCCATTCTGAAAGACAATAATATATCAAGAAGTTCTGTAAACTTCCTCCTAATGAAGACATGCCAATTTGAGACCAAGAATGTGGCCTCAAAGGACAAAATAACCACTGCTCTCAGTCTCTCGGTGTTTTGCTACTTTATTTCAGAGTGATTCAAAATCTAATTAAATTTCTAAACTCTAATGAAATTACAGAAGAAAAATCATTTAGGATTATATTATGTACAATTACTCACAGCTGAAAATTATAGTTACCCTCTTTCACCAAGACAGAATCTCTTGGGAAATCCCTCATTATTTATCCACCATGTAAATCTGACACTTCTCCCACTATTTACCGGTTGGAAGTAAAGCCAAATTAATTAAACGTATATATCCTGAGCTGCAACTAACAGGTGGGGAGGGAGCTCAAGGAGAGGGAGGAAGGATGTGGGCTGAGATCCCCTTAAGTAAGCATGTCTAGGATGTGTGGGGACAGACTGACACTGGGCAGATGCTCAGGGTCTGGAATCTCTTGGGAGCAGAAGCATTGCACATGGGGGGAGTGGGGCAAAGACTTGGATGATGAATTTAGGTGTGGATGTGCATCCCAAGCTTTGCTTGGCTTTGAGAATCTTAGCTTAGATAGAAATATGGGTTAGAGAAGTTCTTGCCAACAGAAGATTGCTTAGGGATCGTGGCCTGGATTTCTGTACTGAAAGAGTTCAATGACTTTATCAATCCACACTAATATAGATAATTAGGAGATTTTGAGTAGTCAGCAGCTGGTTAGTAATTCCATGAAATCCATCTGTTTGAGGTTTTTCATCTCCTTGAATAGAGAGCTTTGAAGGTGTCACCATAGTTACAAATATCATAGTACACTGAAACAAGTTTGGCTTTGGGGGACTTGGACTTCCAAAAATATAGACAAGATAATTTAGACCTTAATTATTCCCATTAGGAATGCCTAGAAAAAATAGATAAAATATATATTTTAAAACATCTGTTTGAAGGTAGCAGAGAGATAACAAGGCAGTGAAGAGTTATGAGAATAAGGTCAGGAGGTAAAACTGAAAAATGAACTTGGACTTTTAAAAGTTTTTCTTCTAGAGGCATCTTTCAATTCCACAAGAGGTGACTGAGAAGCTGAGAAGTGAGTAAAGCTGCAAACAGCTTTGAGGGCTAGAACTCAGAACCCGCCAAGGAAGAGGAACCCTGGTAACCCTCCCAGCTTTGGGTCAGGATGCGGAAGGACTAATCCCTAGGAGAATGGTCAACCAGAAACAAACTCGTCCTTGAATGGTCTGAAATCCAGCTTTAATTCATAATCATCTCGGAAACTGGATTTAGGGGTTGCAGTTTTGCTAGGGAAATGTAGAAGACTGTCAAAAGCAACATGAATCCATTTGAAGGAAGACAACATTGTCCCAAGGTTAAAGTAATTTGATAATTTTTCATTTACAATGTCAGAGTCATTAAAAAATAATGACCAGGCATAAGAGAAGACACAGAATTTTCTGTGGTGTGTTTCAGAACATACATACACACAAACACACAAACATATGCAAAAAAAAAAAGAGGGAACAGCAGGCAATAAAAACAGACCCATAGTTGATTCAGAAACCAGAATATATACTTTCAAAGAACTATGCTTACTTTGCTCAAAGAAATAAAAGATAAAACTGTGAACATTGGCAGAGAACTGGAAAGTATAAAAAAGAATTAAGAAAATCATTCTTGTGATAAATTTCGATTAAGTGAAAATTGTAGAGTACCAGAAGGAGAGGATAGAGAGTATTAAACAGAAACGATATTTTAAGAGATAATGGCTGAGGATTTTCTTTAACTAACAAAACAAATCAAGTTGCTTGTTTAAGAAGTCCTGAAAACTCCAAGCAGGATAAATCAAAAGAAAATTATACTTGAGCACATCAGAGTAAAATTGGTGAAAATGAAAGACAAGTAAAAAGATTAAAGGTAGACAGAAAAAGAAAAAAAAAATCTACAAAGGGGCAAAAATAAGATAGGCTGCCAGAGATATATTTTGGTGACAGTAATGAGGCTTAAACTTCAGTGTTCTTCACTTACATGGGATCTTCTTGGGCATTTCCTAACGTGGTCAAAAGCTCTCATAAAATTTGCTAGTAAGAAATTTTAACTCTAACTGTTAAGACCACTCCTTTTCCATTCCAAGTTCCCTGCATGTACTAATCACTGTGATGGTTGGTGTTAGAGAAGTTCTAGGAATTTTGGGAATCAGGCAGAGGTGAAGGTGAGTTGGGGATTTACTTAGTTTTTGTTTAATGGGATATAGTTGTGTGGTTCTTGGTTACTTTCACATATATCATTATGGTTTAGAAACAGTTCTCAGTACCACACAGAGATATAAAGTCAAAGGTTGCATCAAAGTCTGCATGTGCCTCGTGGTGGTTGGCAGTGGAAGAATGTGGATAGTAGAGAAAAACAAGCAAAGGAATGAGCAAACACAAGGTTTGGAACATACAGGAGCAGAATCTAGTCAATGGAAAATTCTTCCACATCTTATGTCTAATATGCGAGAGAAACTTGATAAGGGTTTCCCCAATTTTGGCAACGATCATAAACATTTTTTTTCTACATTACCAGTAAGAGTGGCACTGAAGAAACTTCTATAAACAATCAGTAACAAAAAATAAATTCCAATCATGTTAGAAGAACTTTCCTACTCTTTATAAAAGATGGTTATATGAAGACACACAAAAGAATATGTAGCAAAAAAATGGAGGAAAATGTATTCTAGTCTTTTTAGGCAGTTAATTAATAAAATATTATTTTGTCTTTTTAAGATTTTTGATATTTGTATTATTTTTAGCTTTTTATAAATTTGTGTTTTTTTGTGATTTATTCTCTCATTCTAAATAAATATTCACTTTTGAACCAAATTTTATGTTCTTTTTCTTAAATTAGCTTTCCCACATTTTGTAATCTTTAGACTACACAATACCTGGATCTTCTACTGCAGACAGCTGTTTTTAAAAAATATGTCTTTGTTTAACAACACATAGACAACAGATTGAGGCATTTTATAAATTTTCATATAAGTTGTTTTATAAATTTTTAATAGTTTTATAATTATGAGGTGTCCCCATAAACAAAAAAGACAATAAAACAATATTTTTAAAGTGATAAAGAAAAATTATTGCCTCTATTTAATTCTGCTGCTATCTAGCAAAAAATATCCCATGCAAATGAAAGTGATAAAGGCTTTTTCAGAAAAAAAGCAGAATTTGTCTGCTTCAGACTCACATTGGAAAATATACAAAGGTATTCTTCAGGAAGAAGGAAAATGCTCGCAGATGGAAGTTTTGAGATGTGGGAAGGAATGAAGAGCAATGAAAAGAATACATTACTATACAAAAGAATCATCATCATCATCATTATCATCATCATCATCATCATCATCATCATCATCATCATCATCATCTCATTATTCTCATCATCACCTAGTAGGGGTTAGCATCCAGCAGGGCAAGGTACCTTCCACCAACAACCCTCATTCCTACCTCACACTCAGTCTCTTTTTTTAAAAAAACTTCTTAGCTATTCTTCAACTTGTGTTTATCTGTATAAGGTTTAAAATCAGCATATGAAGCTCCTAAAAATTCACCTGGAATTCTTATTGTCATTATATCTAAACTATGCATTTCAGACAGCTATCATCTTTAGAATGTTAAATTGTTCCTAATATAAATGTGATGTTCTTTTCATTTATTCAAGTATTCTTTAATGTCATTCATTGGAGATTTATGTCTCCATAAATGACTTGTGCATTCTTCATTAAATTTCCAGATAGTATAAAATTTATGCTATTATTGAGCATGATGTCTTAATATTTGAAAATATTTTTGGATTTATTTTTGATGCCTTAAAAGAAAGCTATTGCTTTATATGGTTGCTTTGTGTTCAAATATCTGGCTTAGCTTCTTTATTAGTTTTTATAATTGTATATTAATGCTGTCGAGATTTCTATTCAGATAATTGTTTCATCTGGAAGTAATAGCAATTTCATTTCTTCTTTTGCAATATCAAGAACTCTTTTTGTTTTTAAAAACGATAAACAGGTTTTGAACTTTATTAAATGTACTTTCTGCATCTGTTCAGATAATCATATAACTTTTTGCCTTTGATCTACAGATATAGTGAATTACACTGATTGACTTTCTTACTTCAAACCATTCTTGAATTTCTGAAACAAACCTTTTTTTGGTATAGTTTATTAGTTTTCTTAAATAAGCAGTAGAATTGTATTGGTTAATATTTTATATAAAAATGTGTATGTTCATATGTGAATATCTTTGTTTGTTCTTCTCTTATCTGGTTTTGACACCCAGCTGATATGAGCTTTTATTAAAATAAGTTGAATAGGTTTTACTTTTTTTACTGTAAAAATTTGTGTAAGAATGATTTGTTCCTGTAAAATTTGGTAGAGACTAATTATAAGGCCCATCTAAACATGGACTTTTTAAAGGAAGAAAGTGATTACCTTTTCAATTTTTAATGGCTTTTGTATCTTTAAATTATCTATTGTTTCTCATTTTAATTTTGACATTTTGTATTTTTACCAATTTTTGTCCATTTCTTTAAGGTTCTTAATTTTATTGTTGTAAATCTTTATAAAATTATTTTTTAAATTCTTGGTATCTTATTTATTTATTTATACATTTTTTCTTCTTTCCCCATTGTAAGTCTTGCTAGATGTCCATTGTATTAGTGTTTGTAAATAACCAGTGTTTTGTTAATCATTTCTGTTGTGCGTCTCCTTTCTCCTCTTTTAACCTTAGTAATAAATCTCTCAGCTTTACATAGGACACGTGAGTGAAAGATAACATTTCCCAACTTCTTTGCAGTTAGGCACAGTTATATTACAAAGTTCTTGCCAATGAGATTTAAGAGGAAATGATGTGTCATATAACTTGTATTCTCTCTTTGTTGAGTATAAATGCATTAGTATGACTTTATTTATAGTGTTATTTAAATTGTCTAACTCCTGCTTATTTTGTCTGCTTGATCTCTCAGTTTCAGAAATAGATGTATGACATTGTCCAGCTAAACCTGTTTATTTCTCCCTGTGGTTCTTTCAGTTATTGCCTTATGTGTTTGAGATTACTTTTTAGGTGACTAAATGTGCCTGATCATTATATTTTCTTTACTTATGTATGTATAATATTCATATATATAATATTCAGTATGTATAATATTCATCTTTCCCATGTCATATGCACCTTAAATTGTGTTTTATCCCATATTAAAATTGCCACCTTGTTTTTATATGTGTCTGTTACATTTTTTGTTCCTTATCGTCATCTTTTATGAATGTCTTTAAAAAAATACGTCTTTGTTTAACAACACATAGACAATAGATTGGGGCATTTTATAAATTTTCATATAAGTTGTTTTATAAATTTTTAATAGTTTTATAATTATGAGGTGTCTCCATTTACATACTTCAATTTTTATTGAAGTTCAGTACACATGCAGGGAATGTATATTCAATATACATGCAGGGAATGTATACATACGGGTACATATCAGAAGAATTTTCACAAAAGAGTACACTGTGTAAAGCTCCCAGTTCATTACCAGCAACCCAGATCCCCTGTGCTCCCTCTCAATCACTCCCACCCCAGCAGAAATCCTATCCTGGCTTTTCAGTGCAGAAATTAATTTGACCTCCTTTTGTACTTTATGTAACATATCTGACTTCTTTTGCTTATACAGTATTATATTAGTGAGACCCACCTATGTTGTTGTATAAAGATGTTGGTTGTGCCTGTTTATTACTGTATAGAATTCGATTGTGTAAATATATAATTGTTTACCTACTTAATTATTAGGCATTGTGATGGTTTCCAGATTTTTGCTATTTCTGTTTGGGCTATGAACATTCTAATACCTTTCTTCTGGTGAACATACACATGCACGTATTTCTCTTGGGTATATGCATAGAAGTGGAATTGCTGGGTCAGAGTGTGTGTGTGTGTGTGTGTGTGTGTGTGTGGGTGTGTGTGTGCGTATTTAACCTTCATTGATATTGCCAAATATTTTAGTGAGTGTACCAATTTACCCTCCTACCAGCAGTATATGAGGGATCTGTTTGCTTGATATTTTCACCAACCATTGGAATTTTCTGTTTTTATCCTTTTAGCTCTTCTGGTAGGTATACAGCAGCATCATATTGTAATTTTAATTTGCATTTCCCTGCTAAAAAATGTAATTGAGCACCTTTTCATATATTTTTTGGTCATTTGGATGTCTTTGTGTGTGTGTGTGTGTGTGTGTGTGTGTGTGTGTGTGTGAAGTGCCTCCTCAAGTGCTCTGCCCATTTTTCTATTGAGTTGCTTGTCTTGTTTTATTGATTCCAGGGAATATTTGCTATAGTCTCCCTATACATGTATATTCTGGAGATGAGGCCTGGGTCAAATACATGCATTATAAATGCCTTCTCCCACTCTAGGTTGTATTTTTACTCTTAATGATGTTTCTTGATGCACAAAATTTCTTAATTTTAATGAGGTGCAATTTATCAGTTTTCTCTGTTATGTATTTTAGATCTTACTTAGGAATTCTTTGTCTACTCCAAAGACACAAAAATATTCTTTCCATTCATATTTATTTTACTTATTTTGTAATTATTTCATAATTTATTTTTGTAGTATTCTTTTATTTTTCCCTTTAGTATGCTTTTTGTCATTTGTTCTTTTTCTCTTTTCTTAGGTTTCCTTGGACAGGCTGAGTTTTCTTTTGTTCGTTTGAAACTTAAGCAGCCCATTTTTATGATTCTGATGCTTATCCCTAGCCTATTATAATCCATCCAGATGTTTTTCTCCCCATTAATTTCTTGAGTTTTGCAATATCTGTATCTTTATTGGAATAAGATAATTTTGTTAGCATAAGTTAACTTCCATCTGACATCCTATCTTCACCTCCATTTAATATCATATAGAATTTTAATTCTTAAAATATGTGTATGTGTATGTCCATAATTATTTAAAAAGTGAAAACAGTGGGGAATATGAAAATGGGGAAAAGAGGGATTTTATTAAAAAAACACATGAACTTTGCGCATTTGTTAATTCCACATTTGGGCAATAGACTTGAAATTTTTGTTTTTGTTCTTGTTTTAACACTAATTTCTAGTGCCTTTCTTTGGTTTCTTAAATTTCTCTTTTCTGGTAAAAGTATTTCTTCTGAGTCCTTTCAAAGAGATTCTGACATTTTGCATGACTGAGACTATATTTTGTCTTTGCCTTTAAATAAGAGTTTGGCTGGATATAAAAGTTTCGGTTTTAAGTTCTTTTACTTTAACTCTCCATTTTATGGACACATCCATTGTTTCATTTGAGATACGGGGTCTAGTCTGATTCATTTTCCCTTGTCAGTGATGTTCATTTTCTCTCTTAAAAGTCTTACAATGTTCTTTTTTTTTCTGTGATGGTATTAAATTTTAGTAAAACACACATAGATGTTTTCCTTCCTTATATATCCTTTTCAACATTCTTTGAGCCATTTCTATGAGAAATTCAATTTATTATTTATTCAAATATCCTTCACACTCTTAATTTTTTTCTCTTTTTCCAATTCTCCATGTATTTCAATGTTGACACTTTTTCTCCAAGCTTCTTCTTCTTTTTTTTTTTTTTTGAGACAGAGTCTCAGCCTGTTCCTCAGGCTGGAGTGCAGTGGCTCAATCTTCACTCACTGCAACCTCCGCCTCCCAGGTTCAAGCGATTCTCCTGCCTCAGCCTCCCGAGTAGCTGGGATTACAGGCATGTGCCACCACGACCGGCTAATTTTTTGTATCTTTAGTAGAGACAGGGTTTCACCCTGTTGGCCGGGCTGGTCTCAAACTCCTGACCTCGTGATCCACCCTATTCTTGATATTTATTTTATTGTTTCCATTCTCTTATTCTTCTTTCTGGTGTTTTCTGAGAGATTTCAGGAAAACCTGAAATTTGAGAACTCAGTAATGAATTTTCTGCTATGTTCTTTCTTTTATCTCCTCCATTGTGTTCCTTATTTACATACTTTCATACTCAGTGACTCTATTTTAATTATTTTTTATGACTGCTCATTCCTGCTCAATGTTTCCAACAGTCTCTCTTATCCCTGCATATTTTTGTGTGCTTACATTAAATTAATTGTTTTACTCCCCGTTCCATTAACTGTAATTCATCATCATCTGTTTAGTTTTTCACTTTTCACTTCAGATGCCCCGTTACCTTCCGTGTGAACTCATATTATTTTAGGACCATCAGCTATGCTGGTTGGTGACCAGCACTGGAGGACCAGCACTGTCCCGGCTCCACGGGTGCCTTGTTAAGGGAGTTGAGAGCATGTTGAGTGTCATTCCTCTGGTTTTAGGATCTGGGTTCAGACACTTCTTATTTGGACACCTAAGCCCACCCCCTAAGCCTTAAAGTTTATCTCTTTTCATGGGGCTGCTCAGAAACTCCACGTGGCCCTGCTCTCAGTTATTATTTCTTCACAGCAACACTGTGGACATGCGTGCCCTGAGAGTGTGGCAAGATGGAGGCAGTGTCAGAAAAGGCTCAGGGGCTGGCCGGTTGGCTTTCACTTGTTGGTATTGGTCTCCTCTACTCTGGTGTCTACCTGCTGTGAACACGTCACCTCCACCTAGCATTGGGCTGCCCTGCTATTCTTTTGCTTCATCCAGGCAAGTGGGGTGAGAGTAGGTCTAGTAGAGGGCTTCCCACAAGCCTGAACCTGGTGCAGGGTGCCCGGCCTCTTCTGCTCCTGGCTGCCAATTCCTACCACGCACACTGATGCCCCGCTGCCTCTGTCTCCTCAAGAGTTTCTCACGGTTTTCAGTTTAGATCCTAGGGCTTCATCCATTTTCTCACTTTTCAGAGAGAAGCCCTGTGCTGATCTACCAGGGACCCTATGCCTGTCCATTCAGGAACCTGTGATAAGTCTCCATTTATTTAAGTCATCCATTATATCTCCCAGTATAGATTTGTAGCATTCATCTTATAGGTCACTCAAAATTGAGCTCATTTTTGTAAATCAACATTGCAAAAAACAACAACAATAGCATTGACAACACACACTTAAATTTACTATGTGTTAGTCAATGTTCAGAACAATTAATTCACTTTATCCTCATAACAACCCTATGAACACATTTTCATCTCTCTTTTACAAATGAAGAAACAAAGACAAAGGTCAGGTCTAGGGTCAAAGTCATCTGGCCCCTGAGTCTATGCTCTTAATCACTACCTTACAGCTGACTCTGAATTTCTTTTTCAAAAGCCTCACTTAACCCCAAGACTGTTTCTCTCTCCAACATTTGTTTCTTCTTTTCCATCCCAAGTCTTACTACTTAGTAAACAATATATCCTGGTGTGACTATTAACCAAGTAGATAGGTCTTTGAGATTGTGTAAGTAAGAAGAGATTTTTCATGTAGGTGCATTTTCAGAATTTTTACCTATAAGATGACACTTTTTATTTTTATTATACTTAAAGTCCTACGGTACATGTGCACAACGTGCAGGTTTATTACATATGTATACATGTGCCATGTTGGTGTGCTGCACCCATCAACTCGTCATTTATATTAGGTATATCTCCTAATGCTATCCCTCCCCGACAACAGGCCCTGCCCGGTGTGAGATGTTCCCCCTCCTGTGTCCAAGTGTTCTCATTGTTCAATTCCCACCCATGAGTGAGAACATGCAGTGCTCGGTTCTCTGTCCCTGTGATAGTTTGCTGAAAATGATGGTTTCCGGCTTCATCCATGTCCCTACAAAGGACATAAACTCATCCTTTTTATGGCTGCATAGTATTCCATGGTGTATATGTGCCACATTTACTTAATCCAGGCTATCATTGATGGACATTTGGGTTGGTTCCAAGTCTTTGCTATTGTGAATAGTGCCACAATAACTTTTTAATACAAAGTAAATTGTTGTCTATATTTAATTCTTGTGATTCCAGAGCTGAATCACATCCAAATTGAGAATTTGTCATTGACTTGAGGCTCATTTCCTAGGCAGAGAAGCCAAGAAACATGTTTATTACTCCTGAGAAAATGAGGTGGGGTTGTGAGACCCCCAATATTTGGTAGTGTTCTCAAGATGCTTCCTGCATGATATAAGATGACCAGATATCAGGACCTCCTTTACTCACGGTTGAGATAAAGAAACAAGGCCTCTGGGTGGCTTGGTATTTTTGCTGTTCTTCAAACTCAATGGGGCTGAGAATGAAGGTCCTCTTTTCAACAGTGAGGAAAATACTGTATGGGCCGTAGTTTCCTAATTTCACACAGCCTTCAGGTGGCCAAATGTGGATGAAATCAGATGTCCAGATTGAAAGAGCTGTTCTGTCCTCCAGCCTCCCTTTGAGCTGGGCTCACAGAAAACCATGCCTTGGTTTCCTTGGCTGGGAGCCCCTGGGCCAGGTCTCCTGGGCTTTAACCCTATGTATTTCAAACATGGCTTTTGTCCATGGCTTTCCCAAAGTCCATTCAGTTGCTCACCAGCTCCTTGGCTCCTATGAGGCATTGGAAAAAAATTGAGGATGAAAGTTGCCCTTAGGTTTTGGTGATTTCATTATTTCAAGACTGATTATGTTAATAATGAAATTTACATTAGTACTTAATGGACTTTATACTTTTTACCATGACCTGGACATATTTGGGAAAATTTAGAACCACAGTATTATTCTTGGGTTAGCAACAGAAGTGTGCATAGCCATACAGAGATAGGGAAAGAAATGAAGCCAGGTGTATGTAAAAGCTAAGAGAGAATTTTTATAATCAGGAAAGAGTATTAAAACAGCAACATATACATATGTATTTATGGTAAAATTGGGTTATATTTATGTGTAAGATTCCCTCTAGACTCCCCCTAAATGCACACATATTCTTATTTTAACTCATATCTTCTGCTAACTATGGGCCGAGGTGATATGGTTTGGCTGTGTCCCCACCCAAATCTCATCTTGTATTGTAGTTCACATAATCCCCATGTGCCATGGAAGGGACTTGGTGGGAGGTAATTGAATCATGGGGGTGGTTACCTCCATGCTGTTCTTGTGATACTGAGTTCTCACAAGATCTGATGCTTTCATAAGTAGCTTTTCCCTGCCTTTGCTCTGCACTTCTTGCTGTTGCCATGTGAAGAAGGACGTGTTTGCTTCCCCTTCTGCCATAATGATAAGTTTCCTGCGGCCTCCCCAGCCATCCTGAACTGTGAGTCAATTAAACCTCTTTCCTCTATAAATTACCCAGTCTCGGGTATGTCTTTATCAGCAGCATGAGAATGAGCTAATACACAAGGTAACCCTGTTCTTTAATTGCAAAAGTTCTTGCACAGATGGGCTGCAGCCACTGACCATGTCTGCTTCCAATCTTCAGCTTTCTTCTTTCCCTAGAAGCAGGTATCCACACCCATTTGCTTACTGAAAGTCAGGCGAGGTGGTAATGAGAAAGGAACTCTCATTTCCTGGTGAACACCCTTCTGCTTGGTTACCATTGTGTCAGATGTGTGCCAATTTTGGTCGTTTCCTGTCTTTCACTTGTTGTTTTGACCTTCGATTTCAAATAATTCGGTAGCGAGCATCCTTAAATATCCATCCATATACTTTTGTTCAATCATTTCCTTGAACTATGTTCCTTAAAGTAGAATTAATGGATCAAAATTGGGGTAAATTTTTAAAGCTAGAATTGCTAATTGCTAGAATGCATGAAACCGTTACAATGTCTATCAACACAACCTTGCTGGCTTTAATATTTGTTTTAGTTACTTCTTAATTATGCAATCTTCAATAAACATCAAATTCTCCATAGTATATGTAGGTTTTGAATAAGGACCTTTGCCAAACCTTTGAGAGTGAAATGTGATGCTATTATAATTGTACTAAGATAGTGGGCATAAACCAGGACTTAAGGAAAAACTCAGAGTCTGACCTTCCTACTAACAAAACAAATACCCATGCACCTACCTCACGATTAAAGAGCCAGACCATTACCTCTGCATCTTACTGTCTGTTCCTTCCTCTCCCCTCCCTCTGCCTTGCTCTGAGAGATTAATCTCTCCAGAATGTTGTGTTTATCATTTTCTAGATTTTTAAAAATACTGTTTAATGAAGAATATATAGGTATCTTTAGGTTCTTTATTGTATAGTTTTGCTTGGTACTGTGCTTCATAAAATTAATATCATTCTGGTTATACTCTTTCACAATTTGATTTTTCATACAATATTGTTTCTAAGACTTACCCAAATTGTCCTAGGTTGCTGTCATTTATTCATTTTATAGCTATATGCTATTCCATTATAAAAATGTATCATAAATTATTTATCCATTTTCCTGTTGATAGATTTCATGGTTCCTCCAAGGTCTTTTTTGCTGTGACCAATTATGCTCTATGAACATTCTTTTCTGTGTTTCTGAATGTACATGTGTGAGAGAGTCCCTGGGTATATGTTCAGGAGGAGTACTGTTGAATCACAGGATACACTAATCTTCAACTTTACCAAAGAATAGAAAATTGCGATATTACACCATATTTTTTCACATTCTCACTTACGTTTAATATTACCCAAGATTTTGATTATTGCCAATCTGGAAGTGTAAAATGGTGTCTCACTGTGGCCTTCATTTTCATTCCTCTGACTACTAATGAAGTTGAGTGGAAGATGGTATTGACACCACAGATTTATTCGAGACAAATCCCCAACTTAAGGATTTTTGAGTTTTTCTATCCATGGTGACACACTTTTTGTTTACTTAGATCCTCTTTAATGCTATGCACTAGTGCTTTCTCCATGTGTCTTGAGCAACTTTTGTTAGATTCATTATTCATATATCTAAAACAAATGTATTATATATTTATTATATTCCTTAAATATGTATATATATATATTATTTTTGGTCATGTGGTCTAATTATTACTATTAGTTTTTATGTATTTATTTAATTAACAAAATTGTATGTATTTATCAGGTACTTGTTATTTTAAAATACATATATATTATGGAATAGTGGTTGTGTAATTTTATATTTTTTAATAACATGTTTTCTTTTTGTTACTAGTATATACAAATTAAATTGATTTTTAAAAATACTGACCTTGCATTCAGCCATATTATTATTTTTAACAATTAGTCCTGGAGTCTTAAAGGCTTTCTGTGTAGACAAACATATCAACTAAGAATATAAATTTTTCTTCCTTCCCAATCCTCATTATTTGTATTCCTTTTTTTTTTTTTTTTTAAATTGTACTAATGAAACCTTAGACAATTTTGAATAGAAATAGTGATAAAGGGCATCTTGTTCCTAATTTTAAAGAGATTGCCTCTTTGTGGTTCACCATAATGATGACGCTTGCTGTTATATTTTAGCAGATATCTTTTCATTAGATCAAGAAAGTTTTTATCTATTTCTAGTTTATTAGGAGTTTTTATCATGAATGCATGATGGATTTTATCAAATGCTTTTCTGTACATATTAGCTAATTTAACTTATTTTCTGTTTTAATCCATTAAAGTGGTGAATGACTTGGTCATAGTAGTTTATTCTCTCTCTCTCTCTCTCTCTCTCTCTCTCTCTCTCTCTCTATATATATATATATATATATATATATATATATATATATATATATATATGTCATTACATTTGATTTGGTAATTTTTAAAAGGATTTTGGCCTCTATGTTATTTAGTGAGATTGGGATATACTTTTATTTTCTTGCTTTCTTCTTGCCTGGTTTGGGTAAAAAGATTATCCTAGACCCACAGAACAGTCAGAAAATACTCATTTTATTTCTATTATCTGAACTAGTTTGTTAATATTGTAATTTCCTAGTCCTTAAAGTTTCTAAAATTTTTGTAAAATTCTGTAAAATAGTTTGGAATGATATTTTCTTTGTGGCAAGATTTTTAACTATTTGATTCAATCTTTTGAAAGGCATCAGGACCTTTCTGTCTTGCTGTTTTTGTCTAGCACATTTCAGTAAGTTACACTTTCCTGAGATTGTGTCCATTTCATCAAAGTTTTCAAATTCATTGGCATAAGATTGCAAATAATGCCATTATTGCTACCTTTTTGGACTTATTTATTCTTAATATTATTTATTTTTGTCTTCTCTCTTTTTAAATCCATTCTGTGAGGAATTTTTCATATTATTAGTTTTTTCAGAAAAAACTTTTAAGATGTGTTTATCCTCCCCATTGTATCTTTGCTTGCTTCTGGTTCATTCATTTTTGCTCTCATATTTATTGCTTCCTTTCTTCTGCCTTTTTTCTGGGCTTATAATTTTTTCAAACTTCTCTGACTGGTTGCTTATCTCATTCCTTTTTCAGTTCTTCTTTTCTAAGTATTTACATCTATGCATTTCCTTTTAATTATTACCCGGCTTGCATTCTGCAAAATCACATGTGCAACATTTTCATTATCATTCAGTTCCAGCTATTTGTAATTTTCACTGTAATTTTTTCTTTGATCTATGAGTTACTTAGAAATGTTTTAAAATTTCCAAACCAATGGAAATTTCTATCATGTATTTTTGTTACTGTCGTTTAATTCAATTACCTTGTGGTAAGAAAATATGGTCTATATGTCACCTTTTCTTTGAAATTTTTGAGACTTGTATTATGGCCCAGTGTGAGACCGTTTTGGGGTATAAATGTTGCATGCATGCTGAATTGAATGGCTATTTTCTAATTGTTGGGTGCACAGTTCTATGTAAGGCCAATAAACAAATCTGCGTGCTGAATCCTCCCTATCTTTAAATTTGTAAAAATCTGATGCGTAATGATGGTGTTTGGCAGTTTTTTGTGACTTGCACTAAAGGCGTTCACATGAGACATGAATTCTACGAGCTCCCTGGCTGGTCCTGAGGGTGCAGTGCTAAGGACAGAAGAGTCCCAGGCTTGGTGGCCTTGGAAGAGGCCCCACATCCGAGTGAGGGGCAGGATGTCAGAGCTGCCGGAGTGGGGCTCATTCTTTTCTGCTTGTCAGTGCAGTGACCTTCCTCACCTAGATGACCTGGAAAATATTCCTGCCAGGTGGGCTGGAGGCTAGGCCGGCTGAGCATGAGATAAGAAAGTGAAACGACTTCTTTTTTTTTTTTTTTTTTGAGACAGAGTTTCACTCTTGTCGCCCAGGCTGGAGTGCAGTGGCGCAATCTCGGCTCACTGCAACCTCTGCCTCCCGGGTTCAGGCGATTCTCCTGCCTCAGCCTCCCAAATAGATGGGGTGAATTGAATTCTTCATTCAACAAACACCGCTAGGAGCCTGCACTGTGTCAGGTGCTAGGCCAGGTGCCCTGGGCCCTGCCCTCACAAGCTCCTGGGCCAGTGTGAGCCAGTGCCAGGAGCAGCCTCACGGTCAGAACTGGGCGTTCATTACAGGGGTACAGGGTGGGGCATCCGCTCTTCTGGGTGCATTGTGCCACGCCAACAAGACACACACCATCTTGCCAAGGTGCCGTGGCTGGGTGCCAGGGCATCTCGTGAGATTCTAGTTTACGGGGCGTTTTGAGCCTCTGCCTGTCTAAGCAGGGAGCAGACTGCATTTTCCAGACTCGGAGGCTACGGCAGAGTGAAAGCAGAAGTAGCTGCAGATGCTTCCCCTCCTGGGAGTATGTAGGACAGGTCGAGCTCCCAAGGATGTTTGGAGAGGTGTTTGGGAGCAGAAGTTCATGCTGGTGTTTAGGTTGACTCATCCCATGCGAAAGTATTTTGAAATCAGTTGCCGACATTTGAAACTTATTGATTTCATATAAAAACAGAACTGCCTGGTGTGGCTGGAAGCCCTGGGCCTGGCCTGAATGTAGCTCCACCGTCCCCAGCCACTGTCTACAGATTGTCAGGTCTGCACTGGCATTTTCTTTCAATACACTTAGAGGAAAGTGAAATATTTTTCTTACACATGTTCCCATGAACTGGGGCAAAATTAAGAAAACTCCACATATTCCAGGAGAAATAAGAGAGTATGTTTCTTGGTGCAGGTAGAAACTGATCTTAATTTCATCAAATGAATAAAGTGTGGACAGATGGAACTTGAAGGCACCCAGATGAAGCCAATTGCTTCTCTCATGACCAGCCTTCTCCTCTCATGTCCATTATTTATGTGAAACTCAGAAGGAGCCACAGCAGCCATGCAGAAGAACCCAGGGGGCATCTGTGGCACCAGGGCAATCGGACTGCCTCTGGCTGGACCTTGGCAGGGGATGGTACCTGTACACAGAGGGCACATGCAGCCTGAGGGGCATAGGCTGCCAGCCAAAGGCCTGGGTTTCGAGTCCAGCTCTCACATTTACTGCTGCGTGGACTTGGACAGGTTGCATGCTAAGATGGCATTGGGCTCAGTAGCAAGTGCTCACGGTGTTGGCTGCTACCGTTAGGGATTTGACTGAGGGAGCCCAAGAATGAAAAGAGCTCGATTTCTGCCAGCTCAGTTGGGTGGGGGACTCAAGACTTGTCATTAAGTTGATTTATATTTTAAAAAGTGACATTTCCTGCACATTTGGGTTTTTGGCTGAACATCTAAGCATTGTGACAACGTGCAGGTATAAAGGAGTACAGGAGCATAAGGCCTTCAGCCTGCTGGCTGAGCCTGTGTGACTACCAAAGTTCCTCCAGGCTAAGGACCTGGACATGGGGCCTGTAAACTTGGATGGGAAAAAAATTACATCTCTGTTCTCTAACCTCTAAGGAACACTTAGCATCTTCTTCTAATAGTAGTGTGGCAAACGAACCACAGAAACATTACCACCCAGTAACTTTATTTCTGGTAGGAATCACAGGTCTTTCCATCCACATTCCAGCTGTTACAGGTATCTCTCAATATCGATTCCATTTATCACCATGTCGAGATGGTGGTAGCTGTTTCATCTGCTGCCAGATCTTGCTATTTACTGTGTGGATAAATAAGCATGTATATTTCTACTTCACAAGTTTAACAAAATATTTTGATAACTGTGTGTTAATACTACTGATTTCTACTATGATCCTTATCTATTTTAGTTTGGGGATTTAAAAATCTTATTCTGAGAAGAGAGTGATAGGCATTCCTAGACTCAGAGGCTCCCATGGCACAAAAACAGTGACCGAGCTGGACTATTGGCTGGAGGGGCATTTCCTATTTCTGCTCCAAGGCAGAGGCTACTGCAAGGGCTGGACTGCAGGGCAGACCGGCTTTGCCCACATTCCTCTCTGAGACTTACTAGCATGGGTCATTAGGCAAGAAACCGCACCTTACCGAGCTTTGTTCCCACACTCTGTGGGGAAGATTATAGGAGAGAACACTGGGTATAATACCCCAGCATGTACAATGGGTCTAATCACAGCCAGCTTCTGGTGGAGTCCAGAATGACAGGGGCTTCCTTCAGCCCTGTCTTCAGAGAGGCTGAGAGGAACTGAACAGCCTCCTGGCTGTGACAGTGGTTTCCTTCCCCATCAGTCACGTGGGTCTTGTCCTGTCCCCAGAGCCTTGGGTCACATGGCTCATTGTGCCTGCGCTGCCAGCAGCCAGGAGCCAGGAGCCAAGAGCAGAGCGCCAGCATGAACTTGGGGGTCAGCATGCTGAGGATCCTCTTCCTCCTGGGTAAGTGGGGACTGCGGGGGTCTCTGGCCCGGGGGAGCCTCAGTGGGCAGGAAACTGGGGGAGCCTTAGCCCACTGGGGCTTGATCCCTAAAACATAACTCTGTCCCTTTACACAGATGATGTTTCTCACTTTGATCTGGTAGTGAGCAATGATCTTGTTTGTCTCATTCCAGCTGCAACTTACAAATGCTTCTGGGCTAAAGGAGAATAGGAAGGGTCATGGCAGAAGGAGCTTCGGGCTTGGGATCTAGAAACATCTGGGTGTAAACTGTGGCTCCATTGCTGATAAACTAGAATAAGCTTCTGAAACTCCCTAACTTTCTGAACCAATGAGATGGGAGATAATCATGTTTACTTTTTGGGATTTCAAGAGAGTTAAGTTAAATTTAATTAAGTCAAATCAAAATACTGACATAGAATGAGAACATGTAGGCATGTAGATACTGGTATACATTTAATGTTGAATCAGAATTCTCATGCAGTGAAGCAGACTCTTTGCTACTCAGAGGTATCTTTGTTTTTAAAAATTATCTTTAATGCATTCCTTGAAAGAAGGAAGAAAGGAGAGAGGCAAAGACTAAAACAAAGTAGGGCCAAATGGAGGAGAGAAATATAAAGTCAGAGAAGTAGACAGAGAGGAAGAAACTCAAAGAGAGAGAGAGAGAGACAGACAGAGACATAGAGAGATGGTTAGAAATATGCATAGATGGAGACAGAGATGGAGAGAGACACATGCCTTTACGAAGTCCCCTCTGATATCAACTGTTGTTTCCTAAAAAGGCAGCATACGTCCCTCATATATACAAAGACGTTCCTTCCCAGAACTTGCACTGGGCCGAGACTCAATGGGAAGCAGTCTGTCTCCAGATTAAATCTTGTGTCTCCAGACCAATAGGTTGTATCCTGAATGCGGGCAAAGTTAGTGCTGTGGGCAGGTTTCCATCTAAAGTCTGCACTAAGCAGGGGAGAGCAAAGACTTTGGCCTTGGGAGTCAGCATGTCAGACAGACAGCCAGCCACATCATCCATCAGTTTACACATGGAAACGGGCCGTTGGCAGTGACTGTGAAGGGATGTCAGGCACCAGCAAGCAGCGATTAAGGGTGTGCACGGTGGTTAGATGCAGTGTGCCTGCCCAGAGACGTGGTGGAAGGTAAGAGAAGTTGTAACCCTTATTTCTGCTTTTGACTTACCTAGATAAACAAACTAGTCTGTCCTGGTACAAAAAAAGGAAGTTAAATTTAAGAAATCCAATGAAAAATGTGCAAATTATATAAACAGGCAATTCATTGAAGAATCACAGACAATAAAACTTTAAAATGTCCAGTCTCACAAATAATAAAAGATCTAACACCTCCTCGCATTTTTTAGTGTGTCGATGTGCTGGGTGCTCTGCTGAAGATGTTACATGAGCTCATTTGGTTCCCACAGCAACTCTGTGCAATAGGTGCCACAATTACCTGCATGTTATAGATAAGGTTTTAATCACTGGGCCAAGGCATCACAGCTCGTTTCTGCTTTCATATACTATTGATAGAGGTACACAGTGGTTAGGAGTGGGTATCCAGTACGAGACTCCTTAAATGTTCATCCCTGTTCTGTTGTTTACCAGCCTGGAAAACTTGGACAAAGAATTAATCCTCTCTGTGCCCAGTTTTCTCATCTGTAAGTTGGGGACACCTCACAGGACTATTGGGAAAATGAAATCTGTTACCACATTTAAAGCACTTAGCATGGGATGTGATAAGTGGTGAGCACTCACTATTGGATATGAGGGGACTCATTTATTCACTCTCTCCAGAGGGCAATTTGGCAAAATCTGGGTGTCAATGTAAGCGAAATGTAAGATGTTCATAACCCTTCACCCAGAAATTCCACCTCCAGGAATATAACCTGATGAAATAATATGGTAAAACCCTCCCAAAATATTTCACAGGGTATTATTCAACACTGCCGAAACCACGGTGGGAACCAGAAACAAGAGACTATCAGTAGGAATTTGACTAAGTTAATTATGCTTTAGTATTTCCAACAATATCCAATATATTTAGTTGAAAGACATGCCTTTCTATGAGCTGACACGGATGAAACAGAAGTGATGAAGTGATAGTTACAGGTTAGAGTTCCGTAGTAATATTTTGCATGTGTTTAGTCTCCTTCTTCTTCCTCTTTTTCTTCTTCTTCCTCTTCTTCTTCTTCTTCTTCTTCTTCTTCTTCTTCTTCTTCCTCTTCTTCTTCTTCCTCTTCTTCTTCTTCTTTTTCTTCTTCTTCTTCTTCCTCCTCCTCCTCCTCTTCCTCCTCCTCCTTCTTCTTCTTGAGATGGAATTTTGCTCTTGTTGCCCAGGCTGGAGTGCAATGGCGCGATCTCGGCTCACCGCAACCTCCACCTCCTGGGTTCAAGCAATTCACCTGCCTCAGCCTCCCGAGTAGCTGGGATTACAGGCACATGCCCCCGCACCTGGCTAATTTTGTATTTTTAGTAGAGATGCGGCTTCTCCATGTTGGCCAAGCTGGTCTTGAACTCCTGACCTCAGGTGTTCCGCCCACCTCGGCCTCCAAAAGTGCTGGGATTACAGGCGTGAGCCACCGTGCCCGGCTATCCTTTATCTTCTTAGGAAAAAGAATTATACAGCATCTTAATTTCTCTGTATTGGCATTTTTCATAATGATTGTATATGTTGTTAATTCCAGTAAGTAAATGTTTGTGAACAAAAAGCGAATATGACAGCCTGTTGAAAGCAAATGAAGGAAACGTTGGGCTTCCCCTTTATTGACTGGAGAAAGGGGCCTAGAGCACTGTTTAGTGCAATCTACTGGCAGATGGGGGTCTGTGAGGGTGGGTGACCAGGCCAGTCACCCAGGGTGTATGAGAACTGTACCTCAGGGGACTTGGGGGCTATGGGGGCACTCTCTGTCCAGTCCCTCTGTGGCATCCAGGATCCCAAGTATGACCGGGGGACCCTGGGATGAGAAGCCAGGCCAGTCTTTCCCACACACAGAGTAGGTAGAAAGTTTTTAAAGAAACAGTATTTGAATATTCTTTAAATATTTTCAAACACTGAGATTAATGGAACAGACATTTATGGAGCCAACACTCTGAATTACCAAATGTTAAATTTTTTTCTAGATATATATTTAAAGGTAGGTAGCTAAATCAATGTATCCATCAGAGAAACAGAACATAAGAGGTGGAGTTTGGCTCTCTTCCTCCTCTTGTTTTCCTCCCTCCCCAGAGGGAGAGGCACCCCAGGGTTGGCTGTGCTTCCTTCCTGGGTTACTTTGCAGCTGTTAAAAACTGCAGGAATCCGCCATAGCATACTGAACACGTTGCATTATCTACCCGTTCTGATAATATGGGTCAAATGCATTCATCCCAACTACTCTACAAGTTTCCACAGAAACACTGCCATTTATCTGATTATTTATCCATTCCCATACTGTCAGAATTTAGGTTGTCTCTAACTTGCAGCCTGATGGCTGAGGCTTCGATGAGCCCTCTCGCCCCACCTCCTGGAACCCACCTGCAGCTGGTTTTCTAGCAGACACCCCTGGCAGGGGAAATGTCGTGTCAATTCTCCTTTTGTTGGATATTGCCAAATTGCTCTCCACCAGGGGGTTGTGGCCATATCTGTTCCTTACATACTCAGTAATACTTGATACTGCCCAACTTCTCAATTCTTGACAATTAGAGAGGTATAAAATTTTATCTCAAAGTTTTTATTTTAGTTTGTGTGTTCCTAATCACTACTAGGAATAACTACTTTCTCTGCATTATCAGACAGCCCATTCTCCTTTTCTGTAGATTTCTGATTTTATATACCTTTCTCCCAAGTTGTATTTGATTATTGGTCTTTTATGTAGTATTCTGGATATTAATTATTTGTATGTTTCATGTGTTCCAAATATCTTCTCTCAGTATGTTGCTTATCTTTTATCTTTGTGGCTTCCTTTGTTGTGAGAAGTCTTTCAGCGTGATGTAATCACATTTATTGGTCTTTTCCTTTTTGTGTGCTTGGTTTTTCTGTGTTAAGAAGCATTTTAAAAAGTTATTTTTACTTTAAAGTGGTTGCATTTTTTATGATTAGGTCTTTAATTTATTTGGAATTTATTTTTATTTACGGCCTAAAGAAAGGATCTAATTTTAATGTTTTCTGTATGGGACATCAGTTGTTGCAATATCACCTGTGTAATGATCTTTCCTTTCTTTGCTTTGCAATGATTCTATATTGCAAACATATTCTATGTCTATTCTGTACCCATTTAATATGTCTGAACCATTAATGGGCTTCATCTTCTGTGCCACTTTTTGCATCTGTCTCTCTTTGAATCATGCCACAATGTTTTTTTTTTTTGCTATAGCTGACTAATCTTGATAGATGAAATATCTACTGCTTGTCACTGTTGTTGCTAGAATCATTTTGGCCCTTAATTCACTTCCTCTTACATGTAACACTCTTTCCTGGAAAGTGTGATAAAATTTCACTTCCTGAGAGCCGACCGTGGGCCAAGGCTGCTCTCAGCACTCCCACGTGGACCCTGTTCATTTCTCAGCCCCAAGGCAGATACTCTTATTGTAGTCATGCCCATTTTTCCAGACAAGGAAACTGAGGCACAGAGAGATTAAAGTAGCAGGTGAGTGGCCCAGTTGGGATTCAAACTGAGGCATTTTGATGCCCCAAAGCTGAATTTTTAGCTCTAATGCCAAACTGCTTCTTAGTCAGGAATAGAAAGGACATTGAAAAAACTGAAGTGACTTTTTAACTTTTTAAAAAATTTTTTTATTTCAAAATAATTCAAACTTTCAAGAAAAGTATAAGAATAAAAATAGTACAAAGAACACTCATATGACTGCCTATTTTAAATAATTTATCTTATTTGCTTGATAATATATTGCCTCTTTCTCTTTCTCTCTCTATACACACACACACACACACACACACAATTTGTTTCCTGAAACAATTGAGGTAAATTTTGTATACCATGGAGTTTCTTTTAACCCTTAAATACATCAGTGTTTATTTCTTAAGAATATATATACCACAGTACAATCATCAACTTTAGGAAATTTAATGTTGACAAAATACTTTTATATAATCTATTTATCATATTCTAATATTTTCAAAGGATCCAATAAAGTCCTCTATAGCCTTGGTTTTGTGTCCAGGCCAGGAACCAATCTAGGACAGGTATGGCGGGGGTGACCAACTGTGTCACATTAGCCTTCCTTAATCTGGTACAGCCCCTGAGCCTTTGTTTGTCTTTCATGATAAAGATATTTTTGAAGCGCACAGCTTTCAAACCCCACCTTTTTTCCCCACAGAACATTCCTCATCTTGGGGTTTGCCTGATAGCCCCTGGTGATTTGATTCGGGATATCCATTCCCTTCCAGAAGACTGCATGGCCAACACTGTCCTTCTCAGCTGTCTACACTTAGAGGCACGGGATGCCTGAGGAAGGCTGATGTATTTTTGCCATCCTGATTAAAAAAACCTTAAAACTAGGTTTTGGATTATGGTTGTCACAATTCTAAATAAATTTCTACTTAAATATCAACCAATCAGTATTTTTAAATTTTGCTAAAATATTGATCTAAGACTAGCTATTGAAAATATCTGGTGAAATTTCTAGGCATTTTATTAGAGGTCTGCATCTTCCTTTTAAAAAAGCTGTCATATAAAATATTCCTGTGGACTCTAATTCCATCCAAAATGTCGGCCATCTATCTCAGTTTTAATTCTGTTGGCAAGCATCTGCTGAAATCTATGTATTATTATAATCATGATAATAAGAGAGATACAATATCACTTTAATTACATTCCAGGGCCTAAAACATTCTTCACTGAAGGAGCCAGAGTTATTGAAGAGAGCAGAGTCTTTTTTTTTCTCCCTTAATTTATAATGAAAAGATGGCAGAGGCCCGGGTAAAGAGAATTAAATTCGTTTTTATCTTACAAGTCAAAGTCATCACTTTATTCCTTGGGTCTGAGTCCCTGAGATCTTTGTAAAAATTTTTCCTGACAGCTGTTCCCCTGTTCCAAGTTCCTGCCAAGACAATAGTTCAGAATTATGTGGTGTGTGAATGTTAGTAAGGAAGAATCCTTGGTACATTTGTTTTATTTTGCTGCATAACAAATCTCTACAAACGTAACAAAAAACGAATACACCAGGGTCTCTTGCAAGTCAGCAGAAGGTCAAGGAAGAGGCTGAAACCTCAGGTAGGCAAGAGATACTTCCTGATAGGGCAAGAGTTCCCCTAATGACTTCTGCCCATTTTTCTAAATGAATTGCTTGCTTTTTTCTTTTACTGTTGAATTTTAAGAGTTCTTTATATACTCTAGATATTAGTCCTTTGTCAAATATGTGGAGTGCAAATATTTTCTTAGTCTATAGTTTGTCTTTTCATTCTCTTAACAGGGTCTTTTACGAACAAAAATGTTTAATTTTAATTGCCTAACTTATTAATCTTTTTTTTCGTGGACTGTGCTTTTGATAGCATGTCTCAGAAGTTTGCACCAAACTCTAAGATCTCAAGATTTCCCCCTAAAATTTACATAGTTTTATGTTTTATATTGAAATCTATGATCAATTTTGAGCTCTTTTTGTTTAAAGTATGAATTTAATCAAGGTAATTTTTTAACCTTGGATATCTAATTGGTCCAGCACTGTTGGTTGAAAAAATGATCCTTCCTCTATTGAATATATTTTGCCCCTTTGTCAAAAATCAGTTGGTCATACTTGGGTGGGGCTAATTTGGGGTTCTCTTTTCTTTTCCACTGATGTGTCTGTCCTTCTGCCAATCCCACACAGTCTTGATTTCTGTAAATATATTAAGTCTCAAGGGAGTAGAGTGATTTCTTCTACTTTATTCTTCCTTTTCAAAAAAGATTTTTCGCATTTCTCTTTCCTTTATCTTTCCATGTAAATTTTAAAATAATCTTTTGTACATCTACAAAAACAGTCTTGCTGGGCTTTTGATGGGAATTGCATTAAACCTATAGATCAATCTGGGGAGATTTGACATCTTTATCATGTTGTGTTTTTCCATGAACTTGGTATGTGTCTCCATTTATTAAGATCCTTCTGGATTTTTTTCTTCAAGGTTGTGCTATTAGACTTACACCTGCATAATTTATGAGTGATCGTAAGTTGTGTTGTATTTAAAGTATTTCTTTCTGTGTATAATTGTGAGCATATGGAGACATCATTGATTTGCATATGTTAATCTTATTGTATTCCACCACCACATACTCTAAAGAGAGTTATTTTTCAGATCTCTCGAGATTTTCTATGTTGACTGTCATGTTCTCTGCAAATAGGGTTAGTCTTATTTTTTCCTTCCTGAATAGTATGCCTTTATTTCCTCTCATCTTACTAGGCTGACAAGAACGTTAGTACTAGGTTGAACAGGTGTGGTGACGGTAGATATTCTTGCTTTGTTCCTGATCTTAGTAGAAAAGTATTTTGTTTCTCACCATGAAGTTTGGTTATAGCTGTAGGTGCTTTTGCAGATATTCTTTGTGAAGTTGAGGAAGTTTTCACAATTGTTCATGGAAGCAGTTTTATGGCTACTTTGACACCTCTGTCAGATGACTCTAACTCTGTATCATCGAGGTGATGGCATCTGTTGATTTTTTTTTTCATTCAAATAGAGATTGTCCTGGTTCTTGCTATGACAAATAATTTTCCACTGAAACCTGAACATTTTGGATTTGATGTTATGAAACTCTGAATCTTATTGACGTCTTCAATTTTAACAGGCCTCCTCAGATATCATTCTGTCGAGAGAAAAGGGGCATTTCCTCATAATTGCTAGGGGGGTGGAGCCTGACATCCTCTCTGGCCACCACTGACACCTGATGGGAGAAGGGCTCTGTGTTACTGTGGGGTGGGGTGCAGGCTAGGTTCTAGGACATAGCTCTAGAACCTGCTCAGTAATTAGCACTTGTTTGAGTCAATTATTGCCAGAAGTGGAACGTCAGCCTCGGGCTTGGGTGGGCTTCCCCTTTAGCACTTGCAGACAGCACCCTGCTGGGAGTACCCAGGCTCATCACTGCTCTTCATGTGTCCCTTGCTGACACTGTGGGGTGGGGGTAGCCTCGTGGTGGCTGGGCAGTGTAGGACGTCCTGACTCTTTCCTAGCAGGAAGGGTGAGAGGCACCTTGTCACTGCCAGGAGCAGGTGAAAGAGCAGGATCCCACAGGGTCTCCACTGATACCCCTGGGGGCGGGGACTTTTTCATTCATTGGGCATGAAGCCCTCTCTTCCCCATGTGACCCTCTGACACCACCCTCGTTGGGGAGTGGGGGCTCCTTATAACTGAGCAGTGAGCGTGGAAGCCCAGGTCTCCACTCGGCCTCTGTTGATGAGGGTGGGGCTTGGGGTGAGGGCACAGTTTTTTCTGTGCTGTTTGACCGTTGTGGAGTGGTTATCACCTAAAAGTCTTGTCTTCCTAGGCTGCACCTTTCCCAGTCTTTGGCTCGTGGGAGCTGGCTTTTCTTGGGGCTTCTGTGTTTGTGCCCATTGGCATTACAGGGTTGCCAGCTTCTCCAATTCCCATCTGGGACATCTGAGGCAAAAAGAAAACCCAGAAATTCACTGCCCTGTTATTCCTGAGTTCTGAAGGTGCCTAGCCAGTCTGCCTTCTTCTCTCCATTTTTGGGGGTCTTTTTATATTTGTTTTTTTAATATAATATTTAGGGATTTTAGCTATGCTTAGTGAGAGGAATAGGGAAAAGTAAACCTATTTCATCTTTCCAGAAAAGTAAGTTTGAAAAGAGTTCTGGAGGATGGGTGATTTGGAGTAATGCTCTTTGGGGAGGGACCCTGGGCTGGCAAACCTCCCTCAGACACACAGTCCTGATTCTAGAGGCCCCTGAAGGGAGTCTTCCCCATGGGGTGAAAGAAGGAGTGGGGATGAAGGCAGAATGCCTGCTGGGGAGTCTCTGATCCTCAATCCCTGATGAGGGCCACAGCTGGGCGGCTATAAAGCCGAGCCCCACAGGCCAACACATACTCAGCAGACCTTTTCACTAGCTCCCAAATTAAACTATCTCCACTTCCTCTTTAAAGTCACTATAAGCATTGTTGTCACATCTAGACCCTCATTTATCTACCACAATTGCTTGAACTGCTCCCTTTATTAAATTTGATTCCATGAAATAACTGGATAATGGTTCTTAGTGAGATGGACTGGGCTCACTCTCCCCTGCTTGTCTGAGTGAAGCAGATGGTCAGTTGGGGAACTCCTGCCTGGACCCCAGCTGCAGCCAAGCCCTGTTCACACCTTTGCAAACTCTTTGGCCATGTTATCGAGAAGTCACTATTCAGGGCAAGAGGTGAAGGACCTGGAGCTGGACCCACAGGCTGTCTTGGAGGACTGGGACACACAGACACCCAGAGCTTTCTCTTTGATTAAGCAAATATTGATTTTCACCAAGGTCTACTGGCACATGAAAATAAGTAAGTCAGGCTCCAACCTGAGGAGCTGACAGTCTACAGGGGACAGTTGCAATGCAGTGTGTTAAATACTGAGACGAAGGACTCACAGAAGAAAAAGGAGAAGCTCTTGAACCAAACTAGAGTATCCAGGAAGGCTTCCTGGAGGAGGAGTCTTATTGAATGCTAATTGCGTACATCTCTGCCTAGGTGAAATCCTTCAGCAGCTTCCTATTGCTGCCAGCAAGTACTAAAGTGTTTACTATGTCACTGGCCTCCTAGACCTGTCACGAGCCATCCCCTGTTGTTCCTGCTCCCTGGTCTCAGGGAACATCCATCAGGTTACTGTCCAGCCTCCTCACATGTCATCTGTTTTGCATGGGATGATGCTGTTCCCCTCCAGGGTCATAGAGATACTCCCACTCCCCTCTGTACTGTCACCACCGTCAGGGGAGAGATCTGGTCTTGCTGGGCCATTGCTCTAGAACCTGCTCAGTAATTAGCACTTGTTTGAGTCAATTATTGCCCGAAGTGGAACATCAGCCTCTGGAGCCAGTCTGCAAGAATGGGACAGGTGGCGTGCCATCCTAAGAAGAGAGGACAGCCTCTGCTGAGGCCCCGGGCAAGGGCAGCATGGACTACAGGGGTTGTGCAAGAGGGGAGAATGAGAGGTGACATGGGCCAGCAAAAGAGGAGGGCTTGATGAGCCCTGGGAGGACATTGGGCCTTATTCTGTAGGATTTTAAACAGCCTTACAGGAAGAGTGCCTGGCTGCAGTGCCCCAGATGGGTTGGAGGCAGGGAGACTTACTAGGAGAAGGCAAATGGATAGTCCAGGAGAGGGGAGGCTGGCTGGATTTGTCCCAGGCCACACCAGCAGGGTCATGTTGGCTTCTGAGGCCCCAGGGCACCCATCTCTCACAGCTACTTCCCTGAGGCAAGCAGTGTGTGGCCTGAGCTCAAGGTGTGTGGCTGAGTAAACTGGTGTCCATCCCAGCTCCTGGCCAGCCCATGCTTAGCCCCACTGGCAGACAGTGTTGGACAGGCAAGGCCAGGGCTGTGTGGCAAGGAGGGCTGAGCAGACCCAGCCAGAGCTCCCTGAGCTAACCCTAGAGTCCTAAAGAAAAGAGACCCTCCCAAACCGCAGATGAGCCCTGATTGTTGAGTCACATGTGACACATTAAGATACTTTGGTCAGTTTGTAATGACTGTTCACCCTCCATGCTGCTGTGAGACTCTTCCTCGGAGCCAGTGACTCAGGCTCAGGCATGGAGCCTGAAGAGGTCACGTCACTTCCTGGGGCTTTCCCATGAAAAGAGGCCACTGTCCCCAAGAGAGGCCCTTGTCCTGACACTGGCTCCAGGACCCCACGTACACACACAAATGCAAATGCGAAGAATTTTTTTCTTTTTTATCTTGTTTTGAGAGTTCAGGAACCGGGTCAGCACTCAGGCAAACAGAGAGGGAGGTTTGTGTGCAATGGCTTAGTGCAGCTGAAAGTGAGGACCCGAATCAGGGAAACCACAGCCTGTGGCTGCCCTGGGAACTAGAGAGGGAGGGAGGAAATGCTTTTATTTCAATTTCCAAAAGACCAGATTCCCAGATAACTGCACCTGATCCCTCCACCTGGTGGTTTCCTCTGGGGACTGAGCATTGCCCAGAACTCTAGGAGAAAAGCCAGGGCTTGGGTAAGGGAACTCGCTGGTGAGTCTGATGGCTCAGGAGCCATCCTTGGTCCTGGAGGGTCTGTGGTTCAAGGTGGCCCAGGCCAGGCCTGGCTTCCTTCTGCTCTACCCATCTGACCCTGCCTCCCCTGGCGGCAGGCAGCAGGGCTGCACCTCCCCCTCTGGAAGGGGCCCCTGAAGAATGGACTGCAGGGCCATGGGGTCAGGGGGACTTCGGCTGGACCATGCGTGGGGCTTGATCTATAACTTAAATATTTAGACATGTGGCATGCTGTAGGCTCTGCAAATGTCAGGAATTGTCTTAAAAAGCTAACTAGAGTGGAGATGCCTAGCACGGATGCTGGTGCCTCGCAGGGTTTACGAATGATCTGTCCCGGTAAGTGGAGGCTGATGGGTTTAGTAAGGGGCTCCGGTGCAGGCTGTGTGCTGCCGTTTCCTCTGCAGCATCATGACCCCTTTCCCATGGTCCAGGACAGCTGTCATCCCACAGCCCCGCTCCCTGGATGCGCACTCCCCTCGGTCAGGTCCCTCAGGACTCCAGAGCAATGCTTCCCAGAGGCTGAAGAGCACAGTATGAATATTGCATGAATAATAATAACCCCACCACTTAGCGGTTATGCAACGCTTTCCTCTTCCACAATACTTTACCATCATTAATTAGTTATTCCGCACGGCTTCCAGCCTCCCCTGCTCTCTCTGCAAGGCATGCCCTGAGAGTTGCTCCTGCAAACAGGCCTGTCCTGGTCTGAAGCACCAACATCAAGTGGCCAGGCCCCTCTTCACTGGGATTGTACAGGCTATGGGAGGCCTTGGTTTGGCCATTTCTCGAAACAGCAGAGGCTTGTGCCCTTGCTGGGGAGCGCCACCTCTTTTCTGACCTGAGCACCTTCCCAGAGTGCCTCCCGGTGTGCTTGGCTCCCCATTTCACTCATGGCCCCTAGGATAGTGGCAGACACCCATCTCAGGTGGTGGCGTGTTTGCTTGTGGAAGGGCAGCTGCTGCCTGCACCTCACTCTGTGCACACACTCCTTCCGGGGACTTGTCCAGCCATGCTCTGTGTGCAATGGGGCCACTGAGCTGGGAGCCATGTTGTGTCTGGTCCAAGGCCACAGGCTGACAATGGGTGGCAGAATGGGGACTCAGATCTCTTGGTTTCAAATACCCTTCCCTCCCACCCACCATGGGAGTCATGGTGAGGTTTCAGATCCCCACAGAGAGGCTCAAAGGTGGGGCAAGTCCTTTCTCCAGTGAGTAGGGTCGGCTGGGTGTCCGGCTGTGGGGCCTCTGATCTGGCCCTCCCTGGATACCACTGTCCACCCAACCACGACAGCCTCAGGCTCCTCCTTGTTCCAGAACCCCCGTCTTCCTCAAGGCTTCAGCAGCCCCTTCCCAGGTGTGGCTCAGTGCTCACATGTGTCACCACTCCTGGTCAGAATGGACCTGGGACACCAGGTGGGGGGGGCCCTGCCCCCTTGGAGGAGCTCCTAGCCCTGGTTCAGGCCCAGGCCAGCTCTCCGCCTCCACCCCTCCATTAGCCTGAAAAGGTATTGATCAGTTTGGCTTCTGTGAGCTGAGTGTTTTAATCCCACTGTGTGAATCTTTAAGAATTAATTAGCAAAGAGTGCTCAAGAAAAACAAAGTGGGCACCAGTTTTGATACCTCCTGGTCACCCGCTGTTATTGTTTCCCTCTTAATTATGATGCTATTTCTGGAAGCTAGAGGCAAGCTCCCTGGTGCATCTCAGCCTGGGGTGGCCTCTGCATGGCCCTCCGTGGCCTCCTGCTTCTCGTTCCTGCCCAGGGTGGCGTGCGGCGAGGAGAAAAGGCACAGAGGCATTGTAGCAGGCAAGATATGAGTGGCCAAGCACTCCCACCTCTGGGAGCAGGGTGGCCACAGGACTCTCCCCTCTGCTTTTCTGAAAACCTTATCTGTCCACAGTGCCGGCCACATCTTATGCCAGTATCCCCAGCTGCTCTGACCCTGCTCAGCTTCCTTCTTTAGCCCTCAAGCCCTCTGTACCTCCTTGAATCGCCTGGCTTTTGCTTGTACCTTGTCCTCTGCCTGGTCACATTCCCTGTCTGGGCACATTCCATTCCAGTCCCTGCTGCCACCTCACCGAGACTTTATTAGCTCCAACTGGTCCTTTTGTTTTTAATTTAAATAATGATCTCTCCGGGGGAGCTTCTGTGACACTCCCAGGCTGGGTTAGGTGCCCGCCTTGGCCCACCTGGCTGGCTAATCACTGTACTTTCACGCATTAGCAGGGACTGCCGTATGTGGAATTCCTTAATCACTGCCTGTCTTCCAGAAGCCTTAGCGTCAGGGTCGCAGGGGTCCTGAGCTGGAGTTGCCAAGCAAGTGGTCTGCTCTGACACCACGCATATTGTCTTTCCGTGGATGGGGGGCGGTCCATGGAAATCAAGGAGTTGTCTAAAAGCTCCCAGAGTCCCCCTCATACCACCCCCCACCACTGCTTTGCACACCTTTTTCCCGTGTGTTCCTTTTGTACAGCTTTGCCAGGTAGGTTTGGGTTCTGCCCCAGCCTAGTTCCTTGCACAGAAAGCAAGGACCACAAGCGGCATGGGAGGGGTCTGCAGACGTCCTGTTTAGAGTCATGCTCTGATAAGACTGGAGGGTGATTGAGGAAGAGAAATCTCAGGTGGTTCCGGGGTTTGAGATGGGGACTCTGAGATTTCTGCAAGTCATGGTCTAGAAGTGTCTAGACTCCGGCAAGAGCCGAGCGATGCTGGAAGTAGGAGGACTGTGTAGCCAAGGCCCATGACCTATGCCCCTGCATTCTGCTAGAGAGAGGGCTGAACAGGTGCTATTGCACTTGGGGTAGGTGCACTTCATTTCCACTTTCAAACAGCCCCGTGGAGTGCCTGAGAAGCAGACCCATTTGTGAGCCCTGAGGCAGGGGCAGGGGCAGGGCCCGCCAGCACCCATATCACCCAAGCCAGCTAAATTTAAGAAGTATAACTTGTGTTTCACTCTGACCCCAGGGTCCACTAACATTGCAGGGTAGCACAGGATAAATGGGCAGAAAGGCAGGGTTGTCTCTGGTGAGTCTTTTATATGTCAGCGTCCTGCATCCCCATTTTCAGATGAAAAAAGGGAAGCCCAGGATCAATCTGCTGTGTGAAGCATAGCTGGGCTGTCTCCCTTGACTCTACACATCTGATTTCTTTTCTGAGCCTCTTGGCTCAGAAAAGTGTGTGCCAGCTGGGCCTCCAAGGCTCACAGTGGGCTGGAAGATGGAGCCACTACAGTGTACATGGTCTCAGAGCCACAGGGGAAACGCTATCGCCCCCCCTTGTCTCTCTGTGGCTGAACTGTACTTGGATCCTGAGCTCCGTACCACTCAGTACTTACACTAGATCTTATCTCTTCAAGCCATTTCTGGTTTAACACTCAGTTCAGACTTCTCCCATCCACCTTTCTCGGCATCCCCCAGGAGAAGAGTCCAGCTTCCGAGGGCTCTCATGCATCATCTCGCTCTTGGGAGAAACAGCTTCCTCTGGGTTGTTTGTGGCCTTCATGCCATAGAGCAAGCTGCAGACTGGGGCCAACAGTGCGGGGGAGAGGTGTGACACATGGAAGGAGTGATCCTGGACTGACGAGAGCAAGGGGGACTTTCAGAGGAGTGGCTTTGAAGGATAAATAAGCACTTTCCACAGGGACGAGGGAAAAGCATTGCGGCAAAGAGAGCAGCAGCCTGTGCAGAGGCCAGGAGCCGTGTGTGTTGCATGGCTTGCACATCCCAGTCCAGCTTGTGTGGGGCTGTGTGGTATAGCTCCTCCTTCACAGCCAGCCTTCTCTGCTCCTATCTCCCAGTCTCCAGTGACGCCCTCTCAGGACCCACTACCGAAGTCATTAGGACTCCTTTGTTTGCAGATGACAGTTACCGAGCTCAGATAAGAGTAAGAAAAAGAAGCTATTTCCTTACTGAGGTGACTCAAAAGTCCAGGGAGAAGTGCTTCGGGCACAGCTGGATTCAGAAGCTTCAAAGCATCTTTAGGACTTGGTCTGGGCTCAACCTTCTTCAGCAGGGACTTCAGTCTGCAGGCTCCCTGCAGTGGGCAAACGCAGGCCTCCCTTGGCCCCATAGCTCTCAGCTCTGGAAGACATTCTTGCTTCTCAGTTTCCCCTGAGGCTCTGAGTTAGGTGTCACTGGTCTGAATTGGATCTTCTGCCCCACCTGTTGACCAATCACAGTTGACAGGAAGAATAAATGTGCTAATTGGTCAGGCAGGGTTCACACATTCCCCAGGAGCCAGCCCTGTGGGAGTCACGTGGAGTGCCTCCTGGTGTGCTTGGCTCCCCCACTTTGCCCATCACCCCTAGAAATTGGCAGATGCCCGTCTCAGGTGGTGGTGTGCTTGCTTGTAGAAGGGCAGCTGCCACTTGCACCTCACTCTGTGCACACACTCAATTTGGGAACTTGCCCAGCCATGCTCTGTGTGCAATGAGGCCATTGAGCTGGGAGCCGTGCTGTGTCTGGTCCAAGGCCACTGGCTGAGCAATGGGTGGCAGAATGGGGACTCAGATCTCCTGGTTCCAAATATCCTTCCCTCCTACCCATCATGAGGTCATAGTGAAGTCTCAGATCCCCACAGAGAGGCTCGAAGGTGGAACAAACCCTTTCCCCAGTGAGTAGGGTTGGCTGGGGGTCTGGCTGTGGGGCCTCTTGTTGCTCAGAGGAAAACTGAGGTGCTAGTCAGGAGAGGAAGGCAGGCCATGCACCAGTGCCCACTCTGCACCCTGTTCCCACTTCCTCCAGCTTGTGAGACTGAGGCTTGGGGAAGGCGCTGAGCTTTGCCTGTGACACTCTGATCTTTTATTCAGTGTAAATCTTGTCTCCCTGGTCACTCTGTGAGCTCCTTCATGGGGCACTTGGGTCTCTGGTTGCTCTTTGATTTCTCCTAGGCACTGGGGCCCCCTGGAACACCCTATAGGCTCTTTATTTACATGTGTGAGCCCTGTTAGGAGAATAAGGAAGCCTGTCCTAGACATTCAAAGCCACTTCCTCTAGCTGAGAATGTTGGAATTCATGAGCTCTAAAGTTAGGAGCCATTCTGCAACATTTAAGTCCCAAGAAGACTATGGCCGGGCATCATTGACAAACACTTAGGGCAGCCTCTCCCTATTTTTAGTTCAAATACTTATAGAACGACATCTGAGTGCACGCACGCCTACTGGCCCACAACTGGGAATCCCACAGCCTGATTCTGCCCAAATAAGGGTGGCAAAGAGTGCCAGTCCCCCATCAAGGGTGGACCCAACAGGTGGACAGCTCAAAGAGGCCTGGATGCCGGGGATGGGCTCTCAGCAGGTCAGATTCCAAGTGAGATGGGGCAAAGCTAGGCCGTGCCTTCAGCTCTCTCCAAAATAACTCATCTCAGCTTGTGTAGAGCAGCCCTGCCATCTTCCTCCCCAGGAGCTGGGGTGGCTGCCCTCCCATGTTTCTGGGGGACCATAAGACAGAGGGACATCCACTCTTGCAGAGGGCTTCTTGCTGTTGGGAGAGCCACTTACAGAGCAATCTGTGTGCTGCAGGCCTGAGGTGGGAATGGCAGCTGTGAGGGGGCTGGAGCCCACTATTTTGTCAGGGAGGCACAGAGTACCAGGTCCAAATGGGGCATCAGGGAGAAAGCAGAAACTCTAGAATCTAGAGCCCATCGAGTGCCCTTGTGCAAATTAGGAAAAGCTTCTATGGTCAGAGGCTGATCTGACCACACATGGAAGCTACACAGGTGGAGGCTGTGGAAAGCCCCCGCATCTCAGCAAGTCCTCTGGAGGTAGCCCTCTGCCCTCTGCTCTCTGCTCTAGGCAGCAGCAAGGGCCTGTATTCTGGCTCTCTGACCCTGCCCAGTGTGAACAGTTCAAGGGAGGTGGTCAGCCAGACTTATGCAGTCGGTGGTAGCAGTCAGATGGGGTGAAGCCAGATTTGGCCAGAACTGTGCCTATTATGGCCTCAGCAAATCTACAGGTTAGAAGGGTGCCTGTTTCACACAGCCTTACCTCAGTCCCCTAGGACTCTCCTGTGGGTGCCAAGCTCCCTCCTCCTTCTTGCATGAGATCTCGGAGAATTCCCACAGAGAAAATGCAGTGCAGTTCCTGCTGGTCCTCGTGGGCTTCCTCCTGGGGTCTCCCACAGATCTAAATGCAGCCGAGGCACTCCAGAGACCTCTGGCTGTGATGTCCAAGCAGGCCTGCTAGGGCCAGCCATCCTCCAGCTACTTTGCAGAGCCAGGGGACATCAGCCAGTGCTGGAGGCTTGCAGGGGGTCTATGGCCCAGGGGGTCCTCCCCAGCTCATGACCCTAGCAGGATGCAGGGGTGGGGCCGGCCAGGCTGCTGTGCTGAGCATGGACCCTCACCCAAGGGCTCATGAGTGTGTAGAGTCACAGCTCCAAGCACAGGAGGGCTGCATGGAGGGATTTCCCTCCCTGAGGAGGGGAAAGGCTGCCACTGAGTGGCTGTGGGGCTGGCTCGCAGGAAGGGCTGGGCCCTTGGCTGTTTGAGTGCACAGCTGGGTTATCTGCCCACGTTGGTCTCCCTGCAAGTGACTCAAGGTGGTGGTGGAGTTGGGGTGGCAGTGGGAATTCACTCAGTCCCTAAGTCAGACCACCAAAAATAGAGCCTCTTTGGGGCCAGGGATTAGGGGAAGCCTCACAGCTTGGAGGGGACACAGGATGGGACATAGAGGATGGTGCCTAAGGGACTGGCCTCTTTTTGGGGGTGAGCTGAACCTCAGCCAGGGGTCCCAGCCACAGAGAGGGGCAGAAGGAGCTGAGGGTTCAGGGCAACACATTTGGGGGGTGAAGTCAATGAGGAAGGATGCAGGACAGCCTGGCGAGAATGGAGACCGTGATGCTGTTGGAGAAACCAAGGCCAGGGCTGGGGCCTTTTGATGTTAGGGCTTTCTCCTCTTCCTTTCTCTTCCCTCCCAATGATGGTCTGAGTGACTCAAGCACAGCCTGAGTGTGTCTCTTGAGTGTCTCTGTGTGTACCTATGTCTTTCTCACCCTTTCTAACCTGAGTCCTTCCTTCCTCTCTGCTCGGATTTCATCTCAGGCTAGCATGAAGTTTCCATGCCAACACTGCAAGTGAGAGCAATGCCCACCAAGGGAGGATGGGAGGGGGGACCAAGCAACATGCTAGTGTGGCAGGGGGAGGGCGTGGGGTGAGCCTGGGGCTCAGGGGTCTGGCCCCACCCACTGAGGCCCTGCCCTCCCCTGTCCTCCTGCCTTCTGCCCAGTAAAGGCAGAGAGAGATCAGAGGTGTCAGCAAAGGGTCCCGTCCCAGGAAAGGGTGAAGACGTAGCACACACAGCTCTGAGTTGGGAGTGTCAGTCTGGAAATGTGCTCCCACCCACAGCCTTCCATTGAATATAAGCCTTTGCCCCATGTCCGGAACGATGTTCAACCTAGCTGGAGCAGCAAGATTGACTTAAAAAAAACAATAAGACAATGGAATGAAGCTGATTGGGGCTTCAGAGAACAGACAAAATCAGAGTCATATTGTGTGCGGTGGTGTCTGTGTGTGTGAGCAAATGTGCTCACATGGGGCTTGTGATCTGTGGGAAAGAGAGAAGATAAGTCATTGAATTTTCAAAAATATCTGTGATTAGAACAAAGCTGAGAACTTTTGCTTTAGAAAAAGCTTGGGGAATCTTTACCAGTCTAAAAAATTAGACTGCCGGAAAAAATTCTGAACTCTAGCAGGACAATTCCTCTCTCCACCAAACACACACAGAGCAAAGCTGTCCCCTGCAGAGCTCCAACCTACCACGCCACTCTGGGCATCACTGAGTGTGGTCAGCAGACAGGGTTGGGTGGAGGATGTCTTTGCTATGATGCTTCCTTCATCATACCATCTGGTCTTTCCCAGTGAAGTCACTTGTTTCCCTTTGTGAGAAACAGGAGTGGTAGCACACTCTCCTGCCTTTGCCTGGAAGTTTGAATGTGAGACTCAGACTTGGATCTTACCATTTGCCCATCCCCAGCCCAAGTCCATGCAGCCCTAGGGCTTGATGGTTTTGGTGGTGTTGTATCTGTTAGTTCACTGGATTCACATTCACGTCTGTAGGCCTTCCTGGACTCTCAGTGCAAACCTGCCACTTCCCACTTATCTTGGCTCTTGGGCAAATTAGCAAGACCACAATGCCTCCCGTTCCTCATTTTGCGAATGGCAATAATAACAGTACTTATCTCACAGAGTTGTTGCTGTGAGTATTACATATATTAATGCCAGCACTGCACCCAGTGTCCGTCTCAGAGTAAGTGGCCAATAAATGTGCACATTTCTCTCCAAGGACCTCACCTCTGGATCACTATTTTAGGGCGCTGTTTGTGAGCAGTATCTCCTGTCTTAAGGTTTCAAGGCCTGGCTAGAAGAGGGAGGGACCCTTACAGCATGCTCTCTTTCCTTCTTTCTTTCCTTCCTTCCCACCCTCCCTCCCTCCCTCCCTCCCTCCCTCCCTTCCTTCCTTCCTTCCTTTCTTCCTTCCTTCCTTCCATTCACCAATGTCTATTAATGCCTCCTGTGGGCCAAGCACTGCATCAAATGCTGGACACTATACCACGCAGCCCAGAGCGAGACCAGCCAGAAGACGTATTGATGTGTTAATATGTGAGAAGCTTTTAGGATGGAGCCTGGAGCAAACTAGTGCTATGTAAATGTTGTTACATATTGACATGGTCAGTTATGGCCGGCAAGCACCACGGCTACGGAGCACACTGGGATCAGCTCACCCAGGTCTGGGGAGTCAGGGAGGAAGTGGCATGGAGCCAAGACCAGGTAAAGGAGGAAGGGAAGAAGATGGGGTCAGGCAGAGGGTGTGGCCCTGAGGCAGGGCAGGAGATTCCCTGGCTGTGTGGGGAACTAGAAGCACCAAAGCCATGCTGGATTAAGGAGGGCCTTGGGAGCCACAGGGGAGCTTGTGGAGCAGGCTTGGGTCAGAGTTCAGGTCTTGGAAACTGTGCTGAACGGCTGACTGAAGTGCATTGGGTGGAGACGCGTTCCTGGTCTGAGTTTTGAGGGAAGCTCTGATGTCTCAGCAAGGCTCCAAGACACTCCATGGCAATTGGGAGCCCACCTCTGTGCTCCTGGTGGGTACATGGGGTAGGCTTTCCCAGGCCTCTGAGACTGGGTAGCTGGGACCACAGCCAGCTCTGTTCTAACCAGGCTCTGGGGTTTCTTTCTTTGCAGATGTAGGAGGAGCTCAAGTGCTGGCAACAGGCAAGACCCCTGGGGCTGAAATTGGTACGTGGCTGCCCATGTTATTCTGTGCACAGGGTCAGGGGCAGGAAGGAAGCTCCCAAGACAAGCAAGCAGAGGGCCGCAGTGCTGGAATTGGTTCCCTGCTGTCAGCATAGGAAAAGGGGCACCCTCACCTCCAGGTCCCCCAGAGCAGCTGACAGCTTTATTTCGGGGGAAAGGCCTTGCATTAAAGCTCGTCCACACAGGGGACGTGATACCTCAGGGCCACAGATGCGTGGCTCCAGCACCCACTGAGCCCTGTCCCACAGCCATGGGCCCTGACAGCATGCTTTGCCAGGCTCACAGCCCTCATCGGTGCCTCCCTCCACCTGCGAGCTTCCAGCCTGTCTGCCCCTTAAGGGCCTCATCTGCTGGCCAGGCTCAGTCTGCATGCCTCACCCTCTGAGAAGGCTCTGGACGCCCATGACTCTAGGCCAACCCAGCCTCTCCCGTCATGAGCTCCTTCCCTGTCCTCCCCAGCTGACTGCAGGCTCCTCAAAGGCCAGACAGGCCTTATCCATTCTCCTGCAGTGTTCACCACAGAGCAGGCAATTAACACACACCCAATAGATGAGTGGATGAATTAACGAAGGGATCAGTGAGGAAGGGCTAGGAGGCTCAGGTGGCCAGAGAAATGAGCCACTCACCTTTTGGGCAGGGGTAGCCAGGTGAGCTTCAGGGAGCCTTGAAAGGTGGCAACAGTTTCTACAGCTGAAGGAGGGGATGGGGTGCAGGCAGAGGCTAGGAGCAAAGGGACTCATGGGAGAGTAGAAGGTGAGGCTGGCCTCAGCCAGTGGGAGGTGGTGTGTTAAGGGCCACATGCATGCTTTGGACCTCATCTGGAATGCAGAGGGAGCTGCAGGTGACTGAAACCGGGTGTTCAATTCCTCCCTGCGTTTCAGATTTCAAGTACGCCCTCATCGGGACTGCTGTGGGTGTCGCCATATCTGCTGGCTTCCTGGCCCTGAAGATCTGCATGATCAGGAGGCACTTATTTGACGACGACTCTTCCGACCTGAAAAGCACGCCTGGGGGCCTCAGTGGTGAGGGATGTGGTGCTCGGGCCTGGCTCTGCCCCACCCAGCGAGGCACCGAGGGCCACTCTGTGATGCTGGCTACAGCAAGAATGAACCCACAAGCGCAGAGCCCAACAGGCTGTAAAGGAAGGCAGTGACCTCTGCATGTTTCTGTCTCTCTCACTAACCCTTTGCCTCTGTTTCTCTTTCTTCTGTCTCTATCTCTCTCTGTCTCTCTATTTGTGTTCCTTTTTCTGTCTCCCTTTCCATGTCTCTGTCTTTCTGTGTCTCTTTCCCTCTGTACTTTTCCTTTCAGTTGCTCTTGGCAGTCCTGAGAATCACATTTCCTGGAGAAAGGTGGGAGAGGAACTAAAATTGGCTTCACACAGAAATTTCTGTTCTCTCATCCAAATGATGAGATCAAATAAACCCAGTCCCAGTAGGCAGCGAGGTTGGTCCTAAGTGTGGGCGGATGGTGGGAGGTTCTGTTGACACTGCCTTTGTGGGTCAAGATGAATTTTTTTTCATAAATTGGGAAAGTCCTTCTCAAAGCAGTACTGAGTAGGCCCTCAGAGAGAAACTGAGCTGGCTGACATGCACCATGGCACAGCCCTCTGCCTCCTTGGCACCCAAAGTGCAGTATTGATTTGCATCCCTTCTCTCAGGGTATCATCCCCAGACTCATCCTCTGTTGTATTAGATGGCTCACTGCAATGACGGTGCAGTTTTCCATGGGGTGCTTCTGGGGAGAATAGAGCCTCACTGCCTTCCTGGAAGACGTGATTATGATCCGTGAAGATAAGCAGAAGGGGCTGGTCTGGGCCGGGAGAGGAGGAGGCTTCCGAGATGCTGGCGTGTGCATCGCCCGAGGGGCTTAATAGGCCATGGGAGTTTGCTTATCCTTGAGTTTGCTTATCCTTGTGTATCCCCACAAATAAGGGGAGGAAACAGCCTCTTCATCACATAGCAGCCAGGCCCCGGGTCTCTCGAGGGCAACCGTGAGTGAGAGGACCAAGGAGAGGGAGGTGAAAGCTCTAGGGAATGCTCTGCACCTCTTGTCACACGACCCCCTTCCTAATGCCCGGCTTTCTCTGTTTAGACACCATCCCGCTAAAGAAGAGAGCCCCAAGGTAAGGTCACTGCCCACACAGTCAGGGAGAGGTATCGTGTTCTCTCCTGTCTTGACCGTGCCACTCCCTTGCCTGTCATCCCCAGCCTTCTCTGCACTCTGGCATGCTTTCTAGGTGACTAGAATGCACCTCGTGGTCCCCTCCTTACACTCTCTCCTCCTCTGGACCAGTGGGCAGGTGTCACAAGAGTGAGGGCCACAGGCTACAGCCGTCAAAGGGAGTAGGGCTCGCCTCTGCATAGCCTGGATTAGATCCTGTTCCACCCCCACTCAGACCCCTTCAGTGCATACCCCTGACTTTCAGAATGAGGCCTCCAGCCCCTGTCACTTGGGAGGTCACACGTGGTTTGTCCCAGGTTTCTGGGCTTCCCTGCTGGCATCAAGGTACCCTGCTCTTCTGCACAGAGCCCACGTCCTCAGGGACGGTCCTGCCTTGGGACCTTTGCACTTGCTGTTTTCTGTAATTGGAATGCTCTTTGCCAGAAAGCTGCAAGCCTCGACCCTCTTTTCCTTCAAATCCCTGCTTCAGTGTCACCACTGCATCATGGAGGGCCTATTTAAGGTACAATCCCCTCTCGACTCCAGCCACCATTCTCTTCTCTTTGCTTGGCTTTAGTTTTCTTTATAATTCTTTGCACTAGTTGATGCTATACGATATATTGATTTGTCTATTTTGCATGGGTTTTTTTCTAAAATGTAAGCTCCGGGCGGGTAGGGTCTTCCTTTTCACTTCTGTAGCACAGCACTTAGCACAGTGCCAGGGACAAAGTGGATACTTGCATATGTGTTGAATGAATGAATAAATAACTGAACATGAGGCCATGGGCTAGGTGCTGGGGGTCAAGGAGAGAGAAGTAGGACAATCTCCCCCAGTCTACAGGGGAGACAGGCAGGTCCCAGGTGGTGGCTGCACAGTGGGGGTGGGGGTCCCGGGAGGTCTATGGCAGGCTAAGCATGTGTTGCCTTGTGTCTTGGGGGTGCAGAGGGCTGCATAGCCACTAGGAGGTGCAGGGGAGCCTCAGGCTACGTGCGGAAGGACTAAGAGAAGCTCATGAATGCAGAGGGAACCCTAGTATATGTAGGCATCATGGGTAAAACCTGCCGCTGACAAACATGCAGTGTGGCAGAAGCAAGTGTTTCATGTGACGATATGGAAGGAAGCGCTGGAGAGATAGGTAGTTTCTATGCATGTACAGTCAGAGGGGCTTGTGTTAAGCAAAGGAGTCTGAAATCTGTCCTGAAACTTCTGGTCACCTACAGATGGGTTCTAAGCAGGGGAGAGAGAGAATATTTTTTGTTATATGGTGGCATGGAGGAGGGCCCAGCTGCAGCCAGGAAGATGTGCTGGAAGCCCGGACAGAGACTCAGGCCTGGTGCAAAGCCCTGCTGGAGTAAGTCCAGGTGGAGGCAATGGAAAAAATGAAAGATGGGAACAAAGTTAAGGAGGAGCTGGCCCAGGGACCTGGGATGAGGGACTGAGACAGCCACTGGAGGAGAGAAAAGAATCTAGAACAGCTCAGAGTTTTCTCTGAGCAGGTGCCCTTTGGGAAGTTGGTGGGGGAGCAGCTTTGGGCAGTGAGCTGGGTGAGATGATATTTTTTTGAACATGGTGAGCCGAAAGTTTCTGGACACTTCCATGTAGAGGAGATGTCTAGTAAGTGGCTGGCATTTAGGACAGAGGTCTGGGTTGACACAGGGTTAGTGGCTTTTAGAAAGTACCCAGAGCCCAGTCTCACCCTCCAGTTCTTCCATGGGACCAGGGACTGGGTAACTTCCAAGTAGTGTCTATTGAAGGAGCGGATGGATTAATGGCTGCATGAGGGATGAACGCATGGTGCATTGTGGCTGCGGGTCATGACTCATCAGCCCTCATGGAGTCATGCGCTTGGGATGAGCTGGACATGGATTTTCTTGAGAAGTTCACTTTTTTTGAGGATTTCTCCTCCTACAGATATTCTAGTTTTCAGCAGTGGTTTCTGATTGTGAAGCATTAAAGCACATTTCATCAACTCTGTCTCCCAGCACCCCATCTCTCCTTCTGTTTCTGACTCTCACTCTCCTTCTCTCTGTCCCCTCCCATGTCATCCCCCCACCCCAAGTTTGTGTCAGTCCACTGGGTCCTGGGCTGGAGAAGACAGGATATATAACTTATCATCCAAGACAGCACTTTGTGAGAGTGAGAAGAGGCTCTGTAAAAGTTGCACCAGGATGATAGGTGTGAGCCTGGACTGTCCTAGGGAAATAGGGATGTGTGGTCAACTTAGATTGAGTGGGCCTGTGAAGTGTCCAGGCCCCGGTGGCCACACAGCACTCCTCTTGCTGGCCATGTCACGTTCTCTGCATCTAGGGCATGTAACCAGCTTCAGGGGGTTTTGGAAATGTGTGGTCGAATTGGGGATATTTCAGGTTGAGGGACCAGAGATGCCATATGTCCCATCTCTCTCTCTCTCTCTCTCTCTCACACACACACACACACATGCACATATTCACACACCCAGACCCACATTGGCTGAAGTTGTCACATTCCTTTTTATAGAAGAAACATGCCGAACTGCTCCCAGTGCCCCCAAATCCACTGATGCGGGAGAGTAGAGTTCCATGCTGGCCAGCTCTTCACACCCCTCCCTTCCCCCCGCCCTAAGAGGCCTTTGCCCCGGGCAGCTCTGTGTTCTTCTAGCCCTAGGGGGGTTGGCACAATCACAGGTTCTCCTAAGTGTGCAGCTGCGGCACCTGGCCAGGAGGGTGTCCCAGTCCCCGCTGACCCAAGGGCAGCACTCAGATGGCTGTGGGTTGGGCGCTGAGTCAGCATCTCCCACCATGGAATCAGGGTGGACTGGCCATTATAAGGGTTTTCACACAGGGCTCTTGGAGGACATGAGGAGGCCATGGATGGAGTCTGGAAGGGTGAGAAGGATTGACTTCCTAGAACCTTTGTTGCCTTTGTGGGTCCAGGTAGCGGTAGCATCTGTGGTGAGGAGTGCAGGAGGAGTCTGTTTTGAATGGATGGGCTGTGTTGGCCATGGCGAAGACCCTGGCACCATGTGGCCTCAGGGGCCCTCTGCTGGGTGCTTAGGTACCCAGGCAGAGGACACAGACTGCTGTGGCCAGCTCAGCCCCTGTGGTCAGGAATATTGAAACATGTGGAGATTCTAGCACAGTGACCTTCTCACCACGGGGAAGGCTCTAAAGTACTAGAGCTCCCCCCAGCACAGGGACGCTACCTTGACCATCTGAATTCCTGGCACACATTGAGGGGGACTTTGAGTTAAGGCACTTTGCTTTGCAAATCGCCAGACCTTGAAGCAGACCATGCTTCAGGGACATCTTAGCCACGGACTTCACATAGAATGAAATTTCACAAAGCTCGATCCTTAATCCTGTTGTGTGTGTGCGCACGCATATGTGTGTGTGTGCATGTATTGCCTGTCTATATGTGTGTGTGCATTTATTGCCTGTGTATATGTGTGTGTATGTGCATGTGGCCATTCATGATGGACTCTGACACACATACATCTGTGTGGGATGATGCTGCTGTGAGCAATACAACACAGACCCATTTGAAAACACTGCTGAATGAGCAGTCACTGTGCTTTTTATGTTCTTATGCATGATCATCTAAGAGGAGCGTCTCTGTTATATGTGTTTTTTGGAAGTTCTGGGTTATTTTGAGCTATCAGGGCTATAGAAGGCATTTTCCATAATCCAGGAAAGATGGCTCCAATAGTTATTCAACAATGAACTTTCTGAAAGCGAAGTTCATGAGAAAACATGAAGGGATGCTAGAGGAAGCAAGTGGGTGAGGGAGGCAAGAAATAAAGGCCAGGAGAGAGGGAGGCTGGGAGGCAATGGCTGGATGGGAGTTTATACCCCTGATAATTAATACATCGCCCTCACCACGTGCAGGGAGCTGTTCTTGGCAGGTATCGTAACAGAGCTCCTCTGCAAATAGAGGGACTTTCAGAGAGGAGAAGCAGGATTCGAGTTTCCAAAACTAACACTAGATGGAGTCAGGCTGAGTCATGAGGAAGTCAGACCCAAAAGAGCAAGCTAATGACAAGCAAGCCACTCTCTTGCAGCAAGTTTTGCATTGTCTTTCTGGCTTCTAAGGCTTAGGCAATGAACACCCTTTTATCTTGTTTTGCAGGCGAAACCACAATTTCTCCAAAAGGTGAGTTGTAAGAGTGATCACTTGTCTTAAAAGGAGGACAGGCAGTCTCTGCCCCATGGGGCTGCATGGGTTTTCGGCATGACCTCTCCCTCCCCTGGCCACGTGGGACGGGCAACCATGGCATGGCCAGGAGCCCTCATGCCAGGACAGCTGTGAGACCAGGAATCAGCATCACCTTGGGACATGATGGTACTTGGCAAGATTTAACATGAAGCTGTGGGGCATTTGCCCAGTTAGAGCTGAGAAAATGGTTTTAACAGGATAGGTAAACTTTTTTTCATTCTCCAAGACCTATCCTATGATAGTGTCCAATCTAATAATTAGCCAATTTAGTCCATTTGATGAAAAAAATTCCCAAACATCTCTTCATGTCATCATGCTATCAGTTTGGCTGGGTATTTGCATCTCAGTGCTGCTTTGGGGTCTCGGAGAGGACGAAGCCTGTATGTGGAGGGCCGGTCTACAGAAGGGGACAGGATCTCGGACCCCTGATTGAATGAGCCTATGGATGAAGACTCCTAGGAATGAAGGCATCTTCACCAGGGTTTTGAGAATCATCATTTCACAATCCACATTCCCCAGCTTGGCTTTTCCTCACCTCATGCCCCTTGCATGTGCCAAACCCACTGAGAATTTGCTCCCTGTCTGACCAGCCCAGGATGGTCACACAGGCCTGGGGCAATCTCTTGACCTCACTCTCCTGCTTTATGAAAAATTTTCAAATCCAAAGAAAAGTTGAAAGAACGGGACAATCAAAATATATACACCCTTCACCTAGGGTCACTCACTGACACGGTGCCCCCTTTGCTTTATCTCTGTGTACATAAGCCTTTTTTGACTGATCTACTTGCAAATTAGTGTAGATATCATGATATTTCACCCCTGAATACAGCACCATTGTGTTTCCTATTGTGTATAATCACAATACAGTGACCACTCCTAAGAAAATTAATGCTAATTTAATATCATCTATTATACAGTCCATATTTAAATTTCTCTGGTTATTTCAGAAGTATCTTTTATTGCTCTATTTTTTATTGTGCTATTTTCCAATCCAGAAAAAATATTTGTATTTATTTTGTCTTTTTTTTAAGTCTCTTTCAGTATTGAACAGCCCCTCTGCTTTTTATCCTTATGGCATTGTTAATTGAGAAGTCCCTAAGCCCCGTTGTCTTATACAATGTCCCATTTTCTGGATTTGTCTGATCGTTTTCTCCTGAGTAGATTCAGATTGAAGTTTTTGGTCAGAAATACCATGAAGTGATGTTGTGTATCTTTTGTTGTATTGCATCACTGTTGGTGATGCTTCGTTTGCTTGGTTAAGGGAGTGACCACTAGATTTCTACATTTGTAGAAATTAGAATTTTCCCCTCTGAAATGAATAATACGAGGGGTGGCACTTTGACACTATGTGAATATCCCGACCCCCAACAATTCCTCACCTAATGATTTTATACCTATTCATGATCCTGCTTCAAGCAGTTTTTGCCATTGGTGATTACAAAATATTGACTTTCTAATTCCAGCATTTCTTCTATATTTAATAGCTGACATTCATCCACAAGGAAGCCTTTTTATTCTATCTCCCCTTTCTCCTTCTTTTGTTGAGGATTATTACTGTGGACTTCAAGGCATTTTAATCCATTGCCATCATGATTCTTTCTGAAGCCCAAATTGTTGCAAATTTGGCTAGTGCAAGTCACTTCTTGGTGGCCTCTGTGCCCTTTAGACAGAACCCATTAGTCTTTGAGCACATGCTAGACTTCTGACAACACAATATCTCAGGCTCACCTTGACCTGCTCCCAAGGGTAGCACAAGGGTCTAATTTTCCCAAGGGTCCCTGTTTCTCTCTCTGTCTCTCTCTCACTCTCTCTGTCTCTCTCTCACTCTCTCTCTCTTTTATTTTAATTTTTACTGTGGAATCATTTTTAGAAACTAAGATCTGGGCACAATGTGTGCTCAGGGCTACTGAGGTGTCATTGCTTCTAGGCCCTTTCAATGGGCAGAGTCACGAAACGTGCATTTAAATTACACACTCAATATCATAAGACTTTTCCTAAGCTTTCCCTAATCCATGTGTCTAGATTGCCTTCTCCAAAGTAAAAACCCTGCTTTTCCACCACATAATATTTTTACTCATTTTCTCTATTCTATAATACACACAAAATGCCTCCAGAAATTAGAGCACTATGCAGCTATAGACCCACTCAGTAAACTTGCATATTTCTTTGCAGTGGCTTTTACCCTTAGAATTTAGCCCTCTAGGTGTGCACAGCCAGAGTATTGTGTTCAAATGAAATTAATTATATTCTCTGTGTGGTTATGCTATCAATTGGATAGAGAGTCAGAAACACTTGTTTTAGTGTGTATTATATTTTACTATTTCCTGTTTTAATCTTTTAAAATTTTAATTTACATAGTTTTCTTTACACAGTTTATCTCTGAATCGTGTGTCATGTACACGATTCAGAGATAAACTATGTAAACAGATAAACTCAGAGAAGTGTTTCTCTTGTAACTGTCCACTCTACCGTGTTCCTACCTACTGCTTTGAAGTTGCTATTTTCAATAGTTCCTGGTTTATTCTTTCTGTGATACTTTTACAAAAATATATTTAATTAAAAACACTTTTATATAGACACACTTTTTAAAATAAAATTAGAAGATGTTTACATATAGATGTATATATCTGTGCATATATACTTTTCCCAGCACTTGGATGGTTTTATTGTTTACTTAGATGTCTGATCCATTTGTCATTTATTCTGGTGTGTGGTATGAGTTAAGATCCAATTTTTTCTTTTTCCCAAATGGCAATTGAATTATTCCGATACTATTTTTTAAAACCACCCTATTTCCCCAGTGTTTCATTTGCCTCTTTTATAATGTTCTAAATTTCTGTGCGTACTAGGGTATTTCTAGGCTTTATTCTCCATTGGTATTTGCGGTTATTCATGTGCTGAGAGCTTCCTGGAGAGGCTGAGCCTAGAGAGGCTTCCTGGTGTGCTCTACCTTCTGGTGGGGCTGGTTCCCTCCACCCGCACACACGTTGTGCTTCCTTTGCAGGGGACATTCTTGCTATTTTATTCCAGCTATTCTTTCATATTTATTTTTCCGTATGAACTTTAGAATCAACTTCAGAATCTTTCCACAGAAACAAAAATCTTTCATGGTGCGGGAGCTGGGGGAGGTCCCAGTGGAGAATTTTATGATGATTGCTTTGTGTTTTTGGTTATTGGGCTTTTGTATAGACCAAAGCAAAGAAAATAAAAACAACACACAGAAAAAAAAAAAGAAGCAAACATCCTGGTATTTAAATTGGGGTTGCATTATATTTACATATTAAGTTAAAGATGATTTACTTCTTTACGATGTTAAGTGGCTCTCCATGGAAAAGAGATAATTTTTTCATAAAAAATTATCTGATTTTGTGTGTTTCTGTTTTTGTGTGTTTCAGGAGAGTTTTCAGATTTTACTCTTATAAGATTGTCATATTTTTTGTTATATTTATTCCTAAGTATTCTGCCTTTGCTGCTTTCAAAATGGAGTTTTTGCCATTATGTCTCCTACCTGGTCATTGATTGTATTTTGATTTTGGGGGATTATGTTAGCATTATAGGGGTTGCCTTGTTGAATGCTTTTATTCTTTGTCTCTGTTTTCTTCTCCGTCCCTTGAGTTTTTATGATATTATGTCACCTGCCAAAATACAGATCTTCTTTCCCAATTCATATGCCTTTAATTGTCTTCTCCTCTCTGATTGCATTGGCTAAAAACACCAATGTTAAATAATAGTGGAAAAAGTGTGCATACAACATGCGTCTGCCAGACTTTGATGGGAAATCCACTAGTGGTGTCCATCAAGTAACATGCTGGCTCTAGGGCTGAAGCACACATATCTTATCATGTTAAGGAGCATTCATCAGTTCCTATTTTACTGAGTTTTAAAAATCAGAAATGTGTGTTGGATTTTGCCAAAGATTTTTTTCAGTATTAGCAGGCATAAATGTATCCTAACCAGATGAACCCTGGGGCTAACCAGAATGTATAGGAATCCTCATTATTAGTTTTACTTTTGTTTCTTTTTGTTCTTCTTCTTTCCTTGTTGGTCTATGTGATTCTTGGAGGATGTGGTCAAAGATTTGGGTTAAGTAGCCACTAAATCACATGGTATGCAACATGCTCTTGCTCTTTCTCATGATGCCAGCCCGGAGTACCATGCAGCCTAATTCACCTACTAGTCCAGCCAGCAGATGCTGCCCTAGACTCTGCCAGCCTTATCTCATTTTCTCCAGATCGTGCCTGGCTCTCTGGTGGCTGGTGACACACCCATCTGCAGAGGTATCGCTACCTGTCAGAGAACAACTTCATCCATAAGGTAGCTCAGCAGTGCCCCTTCTTCTGCTCAGGGCAGCCAGGGGTGGGAGGAGGCTGCTCTCTTGGGCTGCCCATCTACTCTGGGCATTGATATCTCAAGTGCAAACCTGGCTAACTCCAGCTTCTTTAGATCCCTTCCTTATCAACACCTGAAGGGGCCTTTTAATTCAGGGCTTGTTAAAGGCACTAGGAAGGATGAACCCTCTGCTCAGCCTCTGGGCCTCTAAACCCCATTTTCTTCTGAACCTTCCATCTTTTGAAGGAGAAAAAAACCCCTGACGGCATTTGAGGCCCTTGCTTGGAATCCCTCCCTTTACTTTTCTCACCACTTCCTCTCACCATATCTTGCTGGTTTCCAATGTCTTTCTTGTCTTTAACGTTGGTTCTACTGCCATCAAGCTCTATATCCCTGACCATTACGTGTGTCCTTGGTCCTCAAATATGGGGTAGTCAAATATGTGCTGTCTGTTTTATGGCCTTTGACGTGGCTTGTCCCAAAGATGCTTCACTCTGTCCCGCCTTCCTGCTGTTGCTGCCCCATCTCTCATGAGGAGATCTTAGCTGTCAGGAGACTGTGACTGAATATACACAATGGAAAGTCATACACAATTTTGCATCATTCAATGTAAGCATATATACCATTCTATTATATTCTAGATGTCTATGTGAAACTACAGTGAGGGTGTGAATTTGGTCTCAAGGCATGGAGGTATAAGTGAGGCCCTTCGCAGGGTCTGCATCCTACTTTCAGTCCACATTCTATTGTTTCTGAGTCTGGTTTGTTGACTCATCTTCTCTTCCATGTTTCCCCTTTTTTAGACACCTATGCTGCCCTTCCCTTTCATCAAAGCTGGTACACCAAGCACAGAGAAGTCTCACCCTCTGTAACAGCTCGTAGTTCAGATGTGAAGGCATTATTTTCCAGTTCTATTCTCATAGGTCTATCTATCTTGTTCCTCGTAGCATCTGGCCAGATCTGTGCAAATTCACCAACTACAGAAAGTGAAAAGTTTCCCAAAATATGCCTATTAACCTCGAGGAATGACTTCTCTTTTTGTCATCAAAGTGGATGAAGTTTTGTTTGCCTTGGGTTTGGCAGGCAGAAAACAACTTCCAGGTTGAGCTCTCCCCTTTACCCAGAAGCCACTGGCCTTCAGTTCCTTTCTATGTTGCACAAGGAAGTGGCCCACCTTGCAGGCTTTGCTGATGAGCTTTTATACCTGTTTAATTGTGTGAATTGCATAAACACATGCAATCATTAGAGTATAGTTGCTCTCTCAATAAGTCTTCCAGATGGTTCTCTTCCTTTCCAGAGATGCACAGGTGATTGAGCTGTAGGTGAGCAGTGACGTGAAGAGGGGTTCTAGCCCCGTGGAAAACAGCCCATGGTTAACATCTCAGGATGTTCTGCATTCAAACACCCAAGGCTGGTAATGAACTTTCACATGGACTGAATATTGGAGGCAAATAATAGAAGGAATAGAATATACAGTGCCTCTGTCCTGAAGGAAAATATCATGCCTCTTCTGGAAGAAACGGACTGCACAGAGGAAGGATTGAGCAATTTAGCCTGCAGTGGAAGAAGGTGGACACCAAAAGCTTCACCCTGTGTTGGAGCTGTTCATGCTTCCATGAGGCCATGGTGTCCATGTCCGTGGAACCTACCACAGAAAATGGCTCATGAAAAGGGGAATCCGACCCAACACACAGCTTCCTACACACTGCCATCTTATCAACAGTTAGGCACTACTTTGTAGAACGATTAGCTTCACCCTCTTAGCTGCCAGGAGATCCCTTCTTAAAGATGGACTATGTGAAGATTCGGGAGTCCTGAAACATGGGGACTCCGGGATGGTCTCTAGCCCTATCGATGATGAACACTGGCCTTCTGGAGGGGAAATGGCAGTCTGGGCTGGCGTGGTAGGAAGGGCTTTGGTGTTCATGGAATGGGCCTGCTGCTCTCAGACCTTCAAAGGATGGAACCAACGAAGGACCAAATGAGAAAGCAGATGCTGTGCCTTGCAGAGGGCCATGAATGTCAGTTATTATTTTTCTCCTTATACAATTATTTTGTGGTTATTATTACAATGTACATGGCTGTTGCATAGAAGACATGACTGGTGGAGGCTGAGGAAAGCCATGACATTCTACAATTGCCATCAGGCTAAGGCCCCGTGAGCATTTCTCTCCCTTGTAATATTAACCCTGTATTTCTGGGATCACATCACGGAATATTCTTTGCCTTTCCACTTTCCAGGAAATCTCTCGGACTGGGCTACCCTCCTTGTGTGTGATGAAAGATGAGCTATATTTCAGAACAAAGTGCTGTGTTGTCATGATTTGCCTGGACTCCCAGGGCGTCTCTTACCCAACTTGATAACGATGCTGTTCATTAGCAGCCTTTGTTAACTGATAACCAAGAGCGGTAATGTGATACTCATAAGCAATTTTCTGTGTGTAGGATAAAATAAACCATCTTGTATGGGATCTGCTAATTGATTTGCTTCCTTCAGCAGCATTTTAATTAAGACATCTAGTTTGTGAACGGCAGAAACACTTGTGAACTGAAGGTGAATGCTCCTGGAATTTCAGCCATCGTTTTATCTTCTGTACACACAGCAAAACCTCAGTGTTCTCTCCCCGACCCCACCTCATGACATATTTTCCCAACACCACCACTGGACTCTGGTTTTGTTTTAGCCCCACACAAGGTTTCCCAAGTGAAAAACAGAGAGAATTATGCTGAAGGCCAGTGTCCTCTCCTTGGGTCATAAACGCTGACATCATCTGGGAGGCAGATGGGCAGGAGGCCCTGACATTGAGGTCTCTCTGGCTTACACTCCAAACCCAAGCTCAATATCTTCCTTCTGGATGTCCTTCTAGTCCTATTGGAAGCTCTTTGAAGCCCCCCTCAACAGCTCTTCTCCATAAGAGTAGCTCCTGGGGATGCAGGGTCCAATGGGCAGTAGCTCTTGGAAGTGACTGAAAGGAGTCCTAACAAGCCATTGGGTCTGCAGTGTAGCCTCATGAGTCAGGGCCATTCCAGCATGGTTGCCTCACCCTGTGGTTTGACAGTATGCTAGCAGAGGCCAGAGTCTGGACTAAGCCCCATCCTCCCAGCCTTGTAAGTTCTGGGACCCTAGGACACATACAGCTTCCCCCAACACAGCCCACCGCAGCATGGAGAACATCATGCCCTAAGGGAAGGGGACAAATTGTTCTCAAATGTCAGGAGGAAGAGTCAACCTGCACAGGGAAGCAGGTCGCAGATGGCTGCAGCCAGCCAGGTTCTAATGAAGTGGATATGGTTTAGGGCCTCCAGGATTCAGTACGGGAAGGAGGGGAAGGTGAGATGGGACAGGGTTATCTGGCAAGGTCAACAAATTAAAAATCATCTATATATATATCAATCTATATAGTTAAAAGTGTGTTTAAATTGAATCTATACAAATTAATACATAAATATGTGTATGTATGGGTGTCCTTCTCTGTGTGTTGAAAGTACACGTATCATGCAATTTTAGGAAATAAATGCAGGTTTGGAGGAGTTAATAATACTCCTTTCTAAGCAGGCAGGGTTGCTTAGACAGAGGGATACTGAGCTGAACAGAGCCTGAAGATGCAACCTTTCCATCATCAAAGCTGGAAAACAGCTGAGAGGCAGACAAGCTAGGCAGTTGGAAATAAAAATATCAGCACTATTGTGACTTTCAAACGAGTCACGGCATGCTAGCATCCCTCTGCAGCCTCTAGAGTCCCTGCAGCATCCATGCTGCAGTCCAAGCAGGAAGTGAGCATGGCCCAGGTGGAGTGCTGGCAGCAAAGAGGCAGAGAATTGGGGGTGAGGGTGGGGTTGGGATGGACCTTAGGGGAAGAGATGCCAGCACTTGCTGGTGGATCGATCTGTCAGGGAGGCAGAGGGAGTTCAGAACAACCCCAGGTTCGGGAGTCATTGGATGTGGAGAGCCTGAGGAGCAATGGCCTTAGAGAGCTCTGCAACTGGGTCTTGGGTCTCCTAGGCTATTGGGGAGGCAAGGATGGGCTGCATTTGGAGAGAGTGAACCTCACCTTTCTACAGGTGTTCAAACCTGCAAATCAGGGTTAAAAGCACGTGTCAAAGATTATTCTAGAACATGCTCTGGGATTTATGAGAGAAGATGGGGAGAGCCAGCTTGGAGGCTCCTTTCCCCTGAGATGGAGTGTGCAGGTTGGCTGCTTAGACAGAAAGAGGCTGAACTGGGCAGACCTGAAGATGCAGGCAGAAGGGGTAGTGGCCTGCGACAGGAAGTCCATACCGGGCCAGGTGCAGGCTATGACTGATTCTTTCCCTTCTAAGTCATTTGTCTTAATCTCGGATTTGTCAAATTAATTAATCATCCTTCAAAGAATATGATTTTTCATGAGTAGATTATCATCAGATGACAAATGAGTGGCACATCTCCCAGGCTCTGTATACAGATGCAGAGAAGTCACTCAGGCCTTGAATGTCCCAGCCCCCCTTAGCAGCATATTCTATGTCCCAGTGTTCACTATCCTGGAATTTTAACGGACTCATGACTGTCTTTTCATTTGTGGCCCTGCTCTGTGCAGTACAGAGCAGTGGTAGAGTACATGAGCTCTATAACCAAATGCTGCTTTCTGAGCTGGACAAATTATTTAATGGTGCTATGCCTCAGTTTCTACATCTGTGCAGTAGGCTAATGGTTGTACCTACTCCATAGGATCTTTGTGAGAATTAAACAAGTAACGTGTGTAAAGTTCTTAGCACACTGACATGTTGTCAGCACTTGGTAAACATGAGCTATTACTTATCATTGGTTTGAGGCAACTTTTACACAATTCCAAAATTCAGAAGATGAGATTATGGAAGTTTCTGTTTCATTCTTAATTTACATATGTATATGTATAGTTTTTTTTTTTTTTTTTTTTTTTAGACAGGGTCTCACTCTGTCGCCTGGCTGGATTTCATTTTCACAATCACTATTCACTGCAGCCTTGACCTTGCCAGGCTCAGATGATCCTCACACTTCATCCGCTTGACTAGCTGAGACTACAGGCGTGTGCCACTAATTTTTGTATGTGTTGTAGAAACAGAGTTTTATCATGTGACCGAGGCTGGTCTCCAACTCCTGGGCTCAAGAAATCCTCTTGTCCTGACCTCCCAAAGTGCTGGGATTACAGGCATGAGCCACTGTGCCCAGCCTCTTTATATATTTTTAAATAAAGTTTTTATTTTAGAACAGTTTTAGACTCACCCAAAAGTTGAGAGCATAGTTGAGAGAGTTCTCGAATGCTCCACACCTAGCCTCCCCTGTTATTAACATCTTTCATTGGTATGGCACATTTGTCACAATTTAATGAGCCAATATTGATACATTATTATTGACTAAAATCTACACATTATTTGGATTTCCTGTTTTTATCTAGTATCCTTTTCCCGGTCCAAGACCCCATCCAGACCACCACATGACATTTAGTCACAGCATTGCCTTAGGCTCCTCTTGGTTGTGACAATCTCTGAAACTTTCCTTGATTTTGATGACCTTGACAGTTTTGAAGAACTCTGGTCAGGCATTTTGTAGATTGGTCCTCACTAAAGTCTGTCTATTTTTCTCATGAAGATAAATTTCTTTTAAGCTAAGTTTAACATAAAATTGATTATAATTATGCAAAAACCAAGTGTTCACCAATCTTTATTATTGCTCATAAAATTAGCCAGATAGCTGGCAAATCCCACTTAAGTTTGAACTGGGTAGGCTCAGTAAAAAGGAAAACTTTGCCTGTGTAAATAATGCAAAGCAGATGTTTCTAATGAGTGAGGGGCTGCTCTGGTTAGCATCATGCAATTGCCATGTGCTTTAGGTAGCAACACAGTCCGGGAGAGCACCTGGGGCTCCGTGTAAGGCAGGGTAGATTGGACACTGCTGTCTTTCCTCATCAAGAGAACACCAGCCACCTGTGCTCACCCTGTGGCTAGGAGCTCCTGGTAGTGTGCTCTGAGCTCTCCAGAGACATGGATCAGAGCTGCTCATTATTTATCTCAGCAAAAAATGAACCATAAGGAAGCTTTTACAATGTGGTTCTGATCTTTATCCTGTTTCCTGAGTTTAATTCAAGAGATGGCAACAAATTGTGAGTCAAGCACAACTGCTGACTGGCAGAAAAGAAATTGAAACCAGGTCCAAGAATCACCCCAAACATGTTCTGATGGGGTATTTGCAGCCAGCAGCAAGGGCTCTACTACTGACTGACTCCAAGGGGTGGTATTTTGTGGACTTCTTCCCACAGCATTCAGAGGATGGGGCTGTGGATGGTGCTCTTCTCACCTCCGTTGGCTTCTGAGGTCTGCTCTCATTGACGGCTCCTGCTCCTCCTGTCAGCCTTGACCTGGGTTCCTTCTGTCCGGATGGAAGTGGCACTGACAAACATAAGGAAATGGTCAGTCTCAAAAGGAAAATAAGACACAATGGAACAGGAGAAAACCTTCTCAGGGGATGGTGGCAAGCACCTGTTATACCCTGTGGATACTTTACTCATGTAAATTATATCTGCACTCGTAGCCTAGCTTTTGTAGACACAGCTGCATGCACTCTAACAACCCACCATTATGATCAGTGTGCCCCTTTGTGGATGGAATCGTTCCTTCTCACAGTTCAGAGTGTGGGCCTAATCCAGCTGGCTAAGGTCTAATTCCTCCTGGCCAATTGCTTACTATCTGTGCGCAACCCCTGACAAGTGACTCAACTTCATCTTAGTTTTCTCGTTTGTAATGACCATGATGGCCCTAGGGGGTTGCTATGACTTGCCAAAGAGTTATTGCATGTAAAACACTTGGAATAGTGTCCAAAATGTGTAGGTGCTCTATAAATGTTCCCTCTTCTAAAGTATGGTATGAGACACCATGGGAAAAAACAAGGAAGACATAGATGTGGCCTTAACAGAGGAAACCACAGGCAAACAGGGTAAGTGAGTGCTACTTTTGAGGTGTGAACAGGGTGCTGTTGGATCCCAGGAAAAAGAGAAAATCACAGTGGCCAGCAGAGCAACATCTCTGTCTGGACACAAAGGAGTTTGTTGGTCAGAAAAGCAGACAGGGCATCTGGCACCTGGCAGGGTGTCTGGCACCTGGCATGCCAATGCCTGGAAGCATGAAATCACATGGCAAGCTGGGATGGGTAAGTAAGGACATTGCTGTGCACAGAGCTGCGGCTGAGTAGAAGGAGGGTCAGGAAGTCTATGGAGACAAACAAGGTGCTAACGTGTTCAGCCATTTGGTTGTCTGGATTTTGTGAAATCAGTTTTCTGTTTCACAAAGCGAGTTGCAGAAAGACAATAGGTAATTCTGTGAAATGGAAGTTGAGAGATGCGGAGGGAAGATCCAGGAGTTCTAGTGCTCGTTTAATAGGTGTTCTAGGAGGAGGGAGCAGACAGAGCACAAAAAGGACAGATCAGACAAGAGAACACAGTTTACCAGAGCTGCCAAAAGACACTAGACCTTGGCTTCAAAGGAGGATCCAGTGAGTAATTGGCCCTTAAAAGAAAAGAAGTAGGTAGGTGAGCTCCACATTTATTTAGATCGACTTCTGAGGACCTGTTCCCATTTACACTGCATACAGGGCAAGAGAGTTTAAGCAGGATGTGACAATCTTACTGTGCTAGGAAGACAGAGGTTGGGGCTTGATGTTGTCATAGTGGCTAGAATTTAGGGGAACAATCCCAGAAAGGAAGCAACTTTTGATTTTGGAAGAGACCCCAACTCTGCTTCAAAATTCCCCTTAAATTGATGGGTGACTCCTAAACTTGGCATGCAGAGAATGAAATGCCAAGGGGCTCAGTGGAAAACAACAGCTGGAAGGCTAAAAAGAGCTGAGCAGAGATTTCAGCAGCTGTCCTGCCATTGAGAGACAAAGTTTGAAGTTTAAATCCTGCCAAAGTATTAATAGAAGGACTTAGTGTGATGCTTAATTGTATGTATCAACTTGGCTGGGCCACAATGCCCAGATAGTTGGTAGAACATTATTTTGGATGTGTCTGTGAGGGTGTTTGTGAATGAGATTTACATTTAAGTTCGTGGACTTTGAGTCAAGCAGATTGCCCTCCGTAACTTGGGTGGGCCTCATCTAATTATTCAAAGGCACAGACAAAGCAAAGCCCGAGCAGGAGGGACTTCTGCAGCATGTGGCCTTCAGGCTGGAACTGCAACCTCAGCTCTTCCTGGGTCTCTAGCCTGCTGGCCCAGACTGCACGTTGTACTTGCCAGCTTCATAATTGTGTGAGCAAGTTCCTTAAAATAAACCACTTTATATTATATATACATATATATATATATATATATATATATATATATACACACACACATACATATACACGTGCACACACACACGCACACACATCTTGTTGGTTCTGTTTCTCTGGAGAACGCTAATATACTTGGTAAGCACAGCTGGCTTCCCATGAAAACCAAGACTAGGGGTTGTGCTCTAGGACTAGAGACAGAACTGAAATAGACCCAGTCAACACAGCCTAAAACCAGGATTCTCTAGAATCAAGGTAACTTACCAGTGATGTAACTTGCCAGACTAATGATTTGTGCCCAGGACTTAATTTTAAAGGTGACTGAAAGACAACACAGAGAGCTCATGTCATGGAAGGAATAATTTATTACAGTACTTACACTTCCTAAGAGAAGGGGACATACCATGTCCCAAGAGGCCACAGGGAGGAAGCACCAGGTTTGGTCAAAAGGTAGAAAGAGCCAGAGAAAAGCATGGCCCAGAGCCTTTATTGAGCTTTCCATGGGAAAAGCAAGGCAGGAAAGGGGAAGCAACTTAGTACTGGCTAGTGTGGATAGGGTTGGTGGGCTCTGGTCTCCAGTTGTCTGAATGACTGGCCCTGAGTGATTTAGGGCAGGAGAAATACTGGCTTGGTGTGTGAGAGTTAGGTAAAGAAGGTGGTTGGGGCACACACTCAGGATAGATGAGAAAGTTTGGGATAAATTTTTTTTTTTTTTGGAGATGGAGTCTCACTCTGTCACCCAGGCTGCACCCAAGGTTCAAGCGATTCTCGTGCAGGTGCGTGCCACCACTCCCAGCTACTTTTTGTATTTTTAGTAGAGATGGGGTTTTGCCATGTTGGCCAGGCAGGCCTAAAGTGATCCGCCTGCCTTGGCCTCCCAAAGTGCTGGGATTAGAGTTGTGAGCCACTGTGCCCAGCCAGGGATAAGATTTTTCAGGCACCTAGGGAAACTGGACTGCAGGGCAGATATATACAACAGTAGCTGTTAGTTTGGCCCTGTAATTAATGGATGCTTAGTAGACAAATACAGAATCTAAGAAAACATAGAACAACTAAGCATCAACACTCTTCAAAGGAAGATAACAGAATCCAGAGTTTCTATAATGCATCAACCACAATGTTTAAAGGAACAATACCAGGCAATCAAAAAAGCAGGAAAACATGACTCTTAACAAGAGAAAACAGACAATAGAAGTAAACCCATTATAATCCAGATGTTGAAATTAGCAGTTAAGGACTTAAACAATTATTGTAAATATATATATATTTTTTCAGGTGAAATGAACAGAAAGGTGAACAGAGGGGAATCCTTGGCAGGCAAATGGAAAGTATAAAAGAGTCACATGGAATTACTAGGCTTTAAAAATGCCATATCTAGCCTAGGTCTTTGCACTTGCTGTTTCTGCTACCTGGAAAGCTTTTTCTCCAGGTTCTTGAATGGCAGATCACTCTCTCCACTCAATGTTCTTCCCCCACATTATTCTGCAGGGAGGCCTCCCCTGAGAACACTCCTTTAGTTATATATTCACTTACCATGCTATATTTATCATGAGGACACTTATTGCCACTGGCATTATGTTATGTATTTATGCTTGCATCCATCTATTTTTTTTTCATCCTCCACAGTAATGCCAGCTTCTTTAGGACAAGGATTTTGTCTTTTTCACTGCCAGGGCAGTGCTGGGCAGAGAGCAGGTGCTTAGTAAACATTTGTTGCTATTCCTTTAAAAATATCCAAATAGTATAAGCAACTATAAAGAATATTTTTATAGAAATAATTTGAACATCCAGATAAAATGGGTTATTTTCTTCCCAAATTTAAATGACTATGTTTGCTCAAAAAGAAGTTGAGCCTGGGTGTAGTGGCTCACGCCTCTAATCCCAGCACTTTGGGAGGCCGAAGAGGGCAGATGACCTAAGGTCAGGAGTTTGAGACCAGCCTGGTCAACATGGTGAAACCCTGCCTCTGCTAAAAAGACAAAATTAGCCAGGCATGGTGGTGCGCACCTGTAATCCCAGCTACTTGGGAGACTGAGGCAGGAGAATCACTTGAACCCCAGAGGCAGAGGTTGCAGAAAGCTGAGATTGCACCACTGCACTCCAGCCTGGGCAACGAGAGCAAAACTCCATCTCAAAAAAAAAAAAAAAAGTAAAAGAAAAAAAGAGGTTGGGAAACTAGCTAGGATAATTACCATAGGGAGAAATGGAAAATAAAAGTTGTACTAGTTACTGCCTAAATCTTCCTCACTGAATCCCTATCAATTCCCTGTCCCTCTAACAGTCTAAAGCAATATCTTTTCCCACATGCTCACCCATGTTTTTTGCCTTTTAAACATTTTGCTATTTTTTTTCCTAATTGAAATCATTTCCAATGGTTTAGTCAGTCTTTTATTGCGTGCCTTTTCTAGTTTTTTTGTTACTGTAAAACACATGTAACAAAAATTCTTGTGTATATTCTTTTGCCATAGACACAAGAATTTTTCTAGGGGCAGATAGAATTTTTACTCCTAAAACTGCAGTTTGCATGTGGCATTTCCACTGTGGAAGAAGTCTGAGCATTAGTGTTACTGGGGAGGCTGGTCTCCAGGGTTTCTGGAGCACTGACATTGGAACAGAAGCATGTTCCTCTCTGGCCTCTTTGAGTTTACACCTCAGGTTTGGCTCCGATTATGCCAGGCTGCTCTTGGAGGCAGAGAGGTCAGAGCTGCTTCTGCTGCTTCTGTGGGTGAACCTGGTTGAGAGAGCCCCCAGATAGGAGAGCAACATGGACAGAATGAACTGTGAGACCAGAAAGGCAAACAGGGTAGCAAGGTGGTGAAAACAAGCTAAGATTAGAGATCAAAGTCAGCCCAATGTCTGAGTGAGGTGAAGGTGGGGACGCTGTGACCACAGCAGTAGGCACAGGCATATGTTAGGCTCAGGGTTCCGTGGGTGTTGAGAAGGTCAGCAGGGGAGGGCCAGGGTGCATTCATTGCTCTTCTCTTTCTTGGGAGTAGCTCGCTTAGAGATGAATTTTATCCCCACTACCTGGGTGAACAGATATGGAACCAGCCTTCAATCAGGATACAAATCTCCAGGAGCAACAGCAGGCACTGAATCCAGAAACTCTTAGCTCATCATGGTGGCCGTGGATCTACAGCTCAGCCCTGAGGAATGAGCAAAGCTGTAGACAAACACATGCAGGGTTTTATGCCCCTGAACCCTAGTGCGCTCCTCCTAAGAAAAAGCCCAAGGCCACTGACACCACTTCCTAGAGAAGGAGTTGGGCAGAAGAGCTGGTTGGCAGAAAGGGGATCTGCCTTCAAAAAGAGTTTCCACAAGTTTCAAGGGAGTGAAGCTTTGTAGAAAGAAAATAATGTCCAAAGAGGGATTGTTTGGGGAAGTTTTGCCACTTAAAACCCTCAATGTCTCTTCAAGGAAAGATAGATTCCAGCCAGGAAGGGCATGAAATGGTCTTAGGCAAGCTAAATGCATCTTCTCTCAGTGACTTTCTAAATGGGCATGGTAATGACTCACCCAACATTAGGGAAGAGATGGTAAAAAGGGGAGAAAGAAAAGAACAAAATCAGAGGACGGTGACAGGAGGTGACTTTGACACCTGGAACCTGCAGGCGGGGGCAGGTCACATTCTCAGACATCACGTGGGGGCTGGAAGGGAGCCCCTCTTCCACTGCCGCATTCTGAGTGGGGAGCCTGTGCTGTCATCTGAAAGCCATGAGGGAGAACATTGCAAGGTCATATTTGGGCCCAGGCCAGTTGAGAAAACTTGTGGATGTACTGCAACTTCTAAGCTTCAGCGATTGTCCGCAGAACCAGTGAGGTATTCTGCTGCCCAAAAGGAAACATCTCCTCAATTAATGATAATTTATAATATGTGCTTAGCATTTGCCTGGCACAGTTTGAAATAACCACTGTAGAGCTGTGTTCACTTTTGCAGGATGGAGACATGGTAATACCAAGTCTGGGCTCACACTGGTTCTTTATGGGGCTCTGCCACTTAGAGGAATTGATGGATGGTGGTGGCTGGAAGAGCTGTTGGCTGGGGCAGGTGTCCTGAGCTGGGGAGGGCAGAGGGAGGCACTGGGAGGGCTCAGGTGGGAATGGATGAGGATCCGGCTTGCTGGGATGGAAAAAGCCTGCACTCTGTAGATAGACATGGGCGTTTGGCTCCGACGCCTGCTACACAACTCGGCAGCTCTGTGACCTTTAAGCAAATTCACCTGGAAAATGGGGAAGAGGGGCTCAAAAATCATCTGCTCTGGGACTACCATACTTGATGACATAATGAAATTACCACCCCATTTAGAAAGTCACTGAAAGGGAACGGTTTAGCCTGCCTGTGGCAAGTCATGTCCATCCTGGCTGGAATCCATGTATTCTTGAAGGCAAATGTGCTCTGCACCTGGTTGGTGGTGTAGGTAAATGCTGACTGTTTTCTGTTCTACAACCATGGGGCTAAGAAGACAGTTCTGGGTGGGCCATCCTTCCCAGCAGCTGGAGCAGCTAATTCAGGTCTCAAGTGTCTGAAGCCTCAGTCATACCCAACTTCCCCCAAAAAGGTTGGAATTCTTGGCCACACTCCCTGGCGCAGTCCCCACAGCTGGAGAGGCTGCCCTGGCCTCCCCCACAGACCCTCTCCACCCAAGCCTGCCCCTAGGGTATCTCTTCCTGCAGCCAGGCCTGGAGCTTGCTTGCCCAGCTGGCTTTGATCAGGCTCACTCTGAGCCACATGTTACTGTCTTCATCTGTTATTGTTTATGTTTCCTTGCAAACAAATGTCACATCTTTCCCAGGAGCCTCTTCCCATCCAGTTAGGTTTTAACCCCTTGTGGTCAGAGGCAGGTTTCCACTCCTCAACCTAGCCTCTTTTCTGCACCCAGTGAACCGAATGCTCTGGAACCCAAAGGCTGATGTCCATTCAAGGGATCCAGGCTGAGAGACCTGTCCAGGGGACTGGTATGGAGCATCTTAGGACAGAGTGGCCAGGAGTCATGGGGCTTTGTAAAATCTTGCTTGTGGGCCTATATGTTTTTTCCAGCCTCATTAGCCTTTAAATAAAGCTGGAAGTAATTTATTGCTTATTTTCTTACACAATTATCATAGAAGAAGATTAACAAAAGGATGGGAATCTCTTTTTCGTACAAAGAAATGTTGCTAAGGCTTGTCATGTAAAATTTCAGACTTTACATGTGTGTGTATATATGCATGCATGTTCTAGGTTTTATATAACTGGGATTATTTGGTATATGCTTATAATCATAATATTGTGAACAGATTTTCCCATGTGCTTTATTCACTACATTGAATTCCATTGTTTAGTTGTTCCATAATTTACTTAACCTAGGAGTTCTCAAACTCTGGCAGGCACCAGAATCAATCCAGGGAAGGCTGATTGAAACACAGATTGCCAGGCCTCACTGCAGAGTTTCCCAACCAGCAGGTCTGCCTGGTGTGGGGCCTGGGAATTTGCATCTCTAACAAGTTTCCAGGTGAGGATGATGCAACCAAACCAACTTAGCCCAACCTCCACCTCAGGCACTTAGGTTGCCTCTGAGTTCACTCCCATAAACAATGCTATATTGAACATGGGCTGATGAAAATGGGCTAATAAAGACACAGTTTTAATTTATTAAGGGGTCAATTTCTAGAGGTAAGATTGTCAAGACAGATGGTACCATAGGTTTAAAGTTTTTGCTACCTATTGCCAGAACATTAGTTTCAATTTATTTTTCCAACAGGGGACACCAGTTCTGGACCTCACGTTGATTTAATTCTTGTTTTTCTAGTGAGAAGTGCCCACCACATCTAGCTAATGTCACTGAAAAAGCTAGGTTCCCACCTTTAGAGCTCTGTGAACCCAGGAAGCCCCCTCATCTGTTTGAGGCTCAGCTTCTTCATTCATTAAAGGGGAAAGAACACTGCTCTGCCCACCTGTCTGGGCTGTAGTGAGAATCATGAAATGATGATGGAGCACCCTTCCTAAATTGCGACTTGTAATCTGAAAGATCAAAATAAACACCGCTGTATCAACTAAGACAGACACCAAGGTTAAGGAAACAAAGTTACCTACAGGTTGGTTCAGGGCCTGGCTGGCATGAGTAATCTCTATATTCCTATGGCTCCAAACTCCCTAACAATGGTGCTATCAGACCCCTTCCAAGTCTTATTTACAACCCAGTCACTACAACTCTGATTGGACAGAGGATGCCCTTACCAACATTCTTTCTTGATAAGCAATTGCAGACCTTAAGCCATTTTCAGCAGCTTACAGAGGCTGTGCACAAACTGTCTTTGTGTCATATGGTTCACCTTTTGTCATAAAAAGCCAAATTCTACTTCTTTTAATGCTAAAACCCTGCCTCAAAGTAAACATGGGATGTATGTGACATACATGTTTACCCACTGTGCATGCACTTGACTCTCCTCATAAATATGTACAGCTTTTCCCCCAAACCTGCTGCATACATAGGATACCAGCCTTGTGAGCCGTGAAACCCAAATTGCCCTTCCCCTCTTCAAAGACAGAGCATCTTGGTACTTGCCAGAGACTGTCTCTTTACAGTTCCCCAACTGCTATCACCAATAAGGATCTCCTTTTCACTATTTAGTGATCCTGGTGGTCTTTTGGACGACAGACTCCTGTGCAGGTGGGAGGGTTCTGAGCATTTCCCTGACCAATTAAAATGCAGCCCATATAATGGGAACTGTTCTAGAAAGTTAGCATTATTGGGGAACAGGTTGCTTGAGAGTTTATATTCACGGCCACACTGTTAGCTCAGGTCATCTCCTATGGGAACCCCCAGTAGTGTGATGGTAAATATTCAACCACTTGCTCCTGGCCGGGGAGGGGGAAGCCCCTGGTTTTAGCCTTTGCTTATTACCATGGTGTAAATACTCCCACCAAGCCCTCTAACAAGCTGCCACTGTGTCTTAAAATGTAGTAAAATAATTAGGATGTGGAGTGTTTGAGTATTTATTACTTTCATGTTTAATATAATTTATTTAATTATAAGTTTATACTATTTTTAATGTTGATGATGGCTGTGTTTAACAACTGGCTTCAAAGTTCTTGAAAGATTTAACAACTGGTTCTCATTAGCCAGTACCAGCTGGCCCCAGCACACTACTAGATGCCCCTCTTGGCCATAAACTCATTAAAAATGCAAGTCACTATGCCATTCTTGTGGAGGAAAGGTTATACTGGTTATATTGACTTTCATTTTTTACATGTGACTGAGGGCTACACATTGGTAATCTGACTTAGTTTGATTCCAAATGTTTGGCACTTATATTTTAAAATAGTCCCAGGCTTCCCGAGGATTGAACTTTGGGGTCCTGCTAAGACATCTGGTGCTCACACCACGCAGCCAAGCTCTCCAACACACATCTCCTGTGGAGACAGGCCTTGCAACGTGGGGGAAGTAGGCTTTGTTTCCAGAAGCTCATCAATGAGGTCTTGAGAGATCAGTTTCCAGTTGCTGCTATTTTGCCTTTTAATTTTCTTGGTTTGGCTTTATTGTGATAGATTTAATTTGCTGTGGGTTGGGTGGTGGAACCTACCGTGTTACTGCTCCTGGTCGCATCACTGCCATTTGTGGCCTGAAATTTCCGAAGAAGCCAACTTGAATATGTGAATTCATTGTGGTTCAGATAAGAGCCATTTACACCGCTTTCACTAAGGCAGAAAACAATAGAAAAAAATAACCTTTTGGCTTGTTTGGTGATATTTTACCGTAATGTATCATGACCTGTGAATTTGTGCTACATAAATAGCTTAATAAATGCTGTTTCCAATAAAGTAAGAATGTATTTGCTGAGTTATCTTCAAAACAGGAAATTGTTTCAAAGACATGAATCAAAATTTAAATATGCAGATGCTTATAGTCTTGTCTTGCAAAAAATAATTCATACTTTCTCCCTTCTCATCTTTGTCATATTTGTTGAATTCCTGAGAGCCAGGGTGGATTTGGGACGGCTTCTGAGGAGAGCTGCCTTTTCCTTAGAAGGGAGCCCCAGCTGACTGCCTGTTTCACACTATGGCTGGCGGGTCTCTTTCCTCCCCAGACATGGATGGTCATGGTGCTTGCTGGTCAGGTGGGAGCCACACTGCTCGGCCATCTCTAGCCACTCCCTGTTGTGCTGTGGATGTGCCAGATCTCAGTTCTGCCCCACTAAAGTTATTGCCTCTGTGAGATAGTCACGTGAACATGCTGGCACTTGGAGCAGTGGAGGATTGTTTGAACCAGTCCTCCATATTAGAGCAAAGCTCACAGAACTAGAGCAAATCTCACAGGCCTGGGGTGTGGTGTGTGTGTGTGTGTGTGTTTGTAATGTTGGGGGTGGGGAGGTGTGGTGGGGATGGCAGATGGGGTGTTGGAAACCAATGTCCCAGCCAATGTCCAGCCAGTCTCACTGCACTGCAGGGGGGCATGACTGAATGGACTGCTTCCCCTCTGGCTGCTAAGCCTTGGCCTGGGGCCTTTCTTGGGAATTTTCCTGTGGGAATTTGACATGGCCTGATCCAACCTTCCCAGAAGTTCTCCACCCTATGCATACTTTATTCCAGGAGGGCCAGGGATCCATTCAAGACTTTGGGTGCTGTGCGGGAGAAGGGACAGTTGCTGGCCTCCTCAGGACACTGGGATTATCCATTAAACAACTGCATCATCTCTCTGCAGGACAGGCTGGGAAGAAGCATCTTCAGCCATGCCTTTGAAATAGCTATTCCAATTGTGGGGATTAAAATAAGTCATCCCAGCTCTGCTCAGGAGTTTTCTGTGAACATATTTTCTGCTTTCCAGCCACAGACATCCATTAGTCTTGGATGTGGGCTAAAAGGAACATGGAATCAAGCACAGCACACTTTGACGTCAAGGTGACTCACTGTCAGCCTCTGGGTCCTGGGTTCTCACCCTCACACACTTAGACATCAAGGTGACTCACTGTCGGCCTCTGAGTCCCCGAGTCTCACCCTCCAAGTCAGAGCTGTGCCATGCTGCAGGAAAGCTGGCCCAGTAGAAGACAGGAATGGCTCCTGAGGGCTGTGTCCAGCGTGGCCTGTGGCCAGCCCATTTTGGACATAGAGAGAGAGAAGACCCCTTTCCCTAGAGCTCCCACCATGGCTCTCCAAGAACATACACAGGATGTGGCCAGTGCTGGGATCCTGTGGGATCCTGGGATCCTGGGTCACGTGCATGGCATCCAGCAAGGAGTCTTTCCTCTCAGCTGAAGCTGCCCTTCCAAGGAAGCGTGTGTTGGAAGAAGACACTTCTGCATCCCACAACCTTGTTGAACATTCACAGCCCTGCTGGGCCAGAGCTGAGCAAAATGCAGCAGGCTCCAGGCCAGGTGGGGCTCTGGGGCCTGGAGCACAGCCATGCCATGACTGAGGACCCAGCCCCAGGGACCAGCCCCCTCCTGGTTCCCTGATGAGAGGGAAGGCCTTGGCTATTTGTGTGGGCACTCTGAGGTGAAGGCCAAAACCCGAGACAGCGCCAAACAAACCCACCAAAGGAGCAGCCTGTTATTATGTCTAAAGAAAAACAAAAGCAAAACTCCCTTTCCTATTTGCTTGGGGGAGCTGAAGAAGAGTCCTCCGGATTACATTTCCCTGTGGCTGAGCTGAGCCTTCTGTGGTCCACTGACTCACTTCTTTTAAAATAGTTACAAGAAGCAACAGAAAATAAACCCAAAAGATAGTACTTCCCTACCCCACTTCTCAGTTTGTCTGATAGCTTTTGGCACTTTCTCTGCAGCCCAAGCACACAATGAGGTCATCCCTAAGCCCTGAGGACTGACCTTCACTGGGAAAAATTCCCACTCTGAACACCACCAACCCCACTCCATGCAAACCTGCTGCGCAGCATCCGGGCAGCTTCCCACTTCTCCCCTGCCCTCGGGTGTTAAATCTGATAATAGGATAACTTTGGGAGGGTGGCAAGGCACCTGCCCCCTTAGAGGGGCCCCACTTTCGGTGTGGAGAGAAGAGCAGGATCATTGCCCGTTTGCAACACCTTTACACAGTGGCTCTAGCCACAGAAATGCCATGATTAAGACCGAAGCACCACCCCTTGGCCAAATGGACAGATTATTTCTGGACTCCCATGGACCCCAGAATGAATGATGTGATTCTCCCCACAGCCCAGATTGGGGCGCAAGCCAAGCTCTGGAATTAGAAGTGAAGAGAGACATGGCCTCTCTGCTTCCTGCTGTGGCTGTGGCCACTTTATTTCCTGTTAGCCTCCTCAGCTGGGAAAAACAGAGGCTGGGAAGAGTAGGTTTTGGAAGAAAAGTTAAGAGTAGAAAATATTCCAGGCCTCTTGGATGAGGTTTAGGGCTCGCATGCAATGTGTGCAATGAGCTGGCCAGGCGTCAGAGCTCCAAGAAAGTGCTGCGTTGGTCCTTTTGGGGGTTTGCACACCAGCCCTGCTGGCTGCAGCAGTGAGGCGCAGAGGTTCCTGGCAGGGCTGGAAAACCCACTGGAGAGTGGCAGGGGGATGGGTGGGAGCCCTTTGTGGGTGGTCTCAGCTGAACATCTGCATGGAGCAAGCAGAGCGGCTGGGGCAGAGGCTCTTCCCATAGACGGAAACAGCCAGAGGCCATGTGAGTGAGGAGGACAATCGCTCACCATCTGAGGGGCTTCACTCCAAACTAGCCCCAGGGAAGTAGCCCATAGGAAACATCAGAGCAACCTGGCCATGCAGCCCTGCCCCCAGGCGTGAGATGGAAGCCACTTCTCTCCCAGCTTTCCCACCCAAGGTTCATCAAACCCCTCTGAAGTGCCAAGCTCCCTATCTCTAAGGAGGGTTCACAGTGTATAATTTTTGAGAGGATTAGGAAGAACGTATATAGATTCTGGGTAAAGAAAGACCCGACTCAAGGGACTTTGGAAAACATCGTTTGGATCCCAAATTGTAAAGCTTTTGCCTTTACAAAAGCAACCGTATATAAACATTGCAATCTAGTAAGTTGTTTCCTATGGGGTAAGAATGGGAACCATCCTCCCAAGTTGTCCTGGGAAAACCACAGGGCTCACCTGGCCCCCAGGTTTCCCTGACTGGGCCAGGAAGAAGCACAGAGCACAGATGCTGGTTAACGAACTAGCTCACTAGAACATATTTAAATATTACAAGGGAAAATCAAAGTCCATTGAATTACCATGCCCTGTAACAAATTGCCCCAGAAACTAGTGTGTAAAACACCTTTTCTTATGCTCACAGTTTTCTTATGCTCACGGTGGGTGGGGAATTCCAGGAGGGCTTGTCTCTGCCTTGTGATGTCTTGGACCCCAGCTGAAAGACTTGAAGTCTGGGAAGCAAAATTATCTGAAGGTTCCTTCACTCACACATATGGTGGTTGATTGAGACCTTTGCTGGGGCTGCTGCCTGGAACACATCTATGTGGCCTCTCCATGTGGCCTAGGCTTCCTCACAACATAGTGGCTGAGTCCAAAGGAGAAGGGAGACAGAACCAGGAGGAAGTCACATCTTTTATGATCTGGCACTGACAGTCACAAAACATCACTCCTGTGCATTCTGTTGATTGAGGCAGTTACAAAATCCACCCCAGTTCAGGAAGAAGGACGCTGTCGTGTTATCAGAAGAGCATGTGGGTTGTGATATAGATTGGTTTGGCCATCTTTGGAAAATTTGGTCTCACACAGCCCCACCTAATCTTTTTCCTCTTTCTTGAGGTCAACACTGTTTTCTCTTGGGTGTGATTATTTTCAGATCTCCTCTGTGCCTTTTGATACATAGACAATATAGAATTTGGTCAGTGCTTTTGAGGGAGTATGTTTGATTTTTACATAGGTGGGGTCATCTATCTATTCCTTGTATCTTGTGTTTTCATTTAACATGAATTCACTTATCAGTATGTATAGATCTCTTTCTTTTTATCGTGGTGTAGTATTCCACAGTTTGATTATGTTGTAGTTTCTTTATTTTGATGGATCTTAGGAAAGTCTCCTGTCTTTATTTCTATTATACACAATGCTGCAATAAATATTTCTCTAGGTGCTATTTTATGCACATATCATGTAATGTGGCTGTTCCCTAGGAAAGAGATGATAGTAAACTGCTTAGGAAGTGCCTGCCCACTTTTAATTCTAATGGGTACCACCAAACTTTTTGAGAAAGTTAAGGTACACTGTTCCAACAGAGAATAAAAGTGTTCATTTCCTTACGTCCTCACCAGCACTGGGTATTGTCCATCTTTTTAACTCTTACCTATCTCATGGGTGAAAAGTGCTATACTGTATACTACACATTTTTAAGTTGTAGCTCCCTTATTACAGTAGGACTCAACATCTTCTCATATATTTATCATCCCTCTGCATTTCTTCCCCTGGAAACTGCTTGCTCATTTGCTTTTTTTTCCAGTTCCACTGAAAAGCAGAGGAATGCAAATTGAAACAGTGAGTTTTTTAAAGCAGTGAAATTAGAAAAGATGACAAAGTTTCTCAATGCTTGCGAAGACTAATATTGTTTAAGTTGAGAAAAAGCACCTTGTAATTACAAATGTTAACATATTTTCTTTCTACACATTTTTCATTAAAGCGTAAGCTCTGAACCATTATGAAAATATTCTTAATTGTTTTACATGAAGTGAGACCAAAGTTGATTCAAAAAAATAGCGAATATAATTTTTCAGCATAATTTGTTGGCTGAGTCTCCTTTCCTCCCAGACTTGCTGTTTACTTTGCCGCTTAACAATTCTCCATGATGTCATCTCTCTCTGAACTGCCTTCCATCCCCCAATGACCTACTTATTTTCTGTGCTGGCTGCCCCCTCTTGTTTTTGTAAGGCAAGTCTTTGTATTTATTTGTTAAAAAAGGGTGCACTTACACTATTTCCTCTTTTAGCCAGGGGACGTAGTCTTCTGTTTAGGTCAGGCGTGACTTTCATGGCTCAGTAGAGCACCGTGGTGTCTTCCTCCACACAGTGGCCTCACATTCTAGAGAGGAGGGTATTCCTCGGTGCTGGGTGTGTGGGGGATGTTGATGTTGCTTGTGGAATATTGGGATTATTTTCAATCCATCACCTATCTGAACTGTTTAGTATTTGGGATTCAAAGGAATAGAGTTGATGAGACTGACCAAGGGTGGGAAGAGATTAGCCACAGAGGGAAGTGGTAAGAAGCTTGTTGGAGGAAATGAGTGAAGTGCCAGCGTGTTGCAGAGCAGAGAGATGGCAGGTGAACATTTTATCAGGCTGATTGAGGCTGAAGCGTGGTTTGTGCAAATGGAGAAGGAAGAGGCAACTCCCAGAGTCCTAGTGGGAGAGAACCAACCACCCTGGAACTGCAGAGATCCAGGGAGCACAGAGGAGGCAGCTCCCAGAGGGAGTAACGCCTTTTTCAGCCCAACGTGTTCATCAGCTATTTACTCATTATTTCCTGAGTGCTTGTTAATATGTAAAACATTGATCTAGACACTAGAGATATAATGAGGTGGATGGAACGAAGGAAGTCCCTACCTGCCTAAGCTTACATCTAAGGAGGAGAAGACAGATACAGGTAAACCCATGAGATACACACACAGACATTATATACAGCCTAGGGTGGTAAATGCTATCATGGAAAAATAAAGCAGGGTAAGGTGACAGAGAGTTGTAGGGCCAAAGAAAGCTCTTTTCCTGGGGGTGCCAGGCAGGCTCCTCTGACCAGGTGATGTTTCAGAGGAGACCGGAAGGAGAGAGAGCCACACAGGAACCTAGGGGAAAGCCTGGAACAGGCACAAGGAAGAGCAAGTGCGAGAGCCCAGAGCCCGTGAGGGGAGGATGCCGGGCATGTCCGGGAGCAGTGAAGTGTCTGGAGTCACAGGAACTGAGCAAGGGAGTGAGTAGAGGAGAGGGGAGGGGAGGGGTGGGGTGGGGTTGTGGAGGGTTGAGGAGCTAAACAGGGTCAGCGTGGGGACGTAAGATGGGGGAGAGAAGGAGAGATTTTCCACACTGGGAAGCAGGGTCATTTTATGTTGGCTGCTGACTGTATGTATGTGAGCCTATGTATGGTTAATTAATCTGGCATGAATTTGTGTGCATGTATGTGTGTGTGGTTAAGTAAATATGTGTGTGAATTTGTATGTGTGAGCATGTTATGTGTCTATGTGAACACACGTACATATGTTTATGTTACTGTGTGTGCCATATGTGTTCCAGCGTATATGTGTGTCTGAGTGATCATGTATGCGTTTCTTTGTGTGTGAGTGACATAGTATGGACATGTGTCCCCTTCAAATCTCATGTTGAAATTTGATATCCAATGTGAGAGGTGGGCGTAGAGGGAGGTGTTTGGGTGACGGGGACAAATCCCTCATGAAGGGCTCAGTGCCACCCTCGTGGTAAAGAGTTCTCACTCTTAGTTCTGTGAGAACTGAGTGTTGAAAAGAGCCTGTCACTTCCTCCACTCTTTCTTCCTTCCTCTCTTACCCATGTGATCTAAACACACCTGCTCCCCTTCCCCATTTGCTGAGAATGGAAGCTTCCTAAGGCCCTCACCAGAAGCAGATGCTGGCACTATGCTTTGTGTACAGGCTGCAGAAACATGAGCCCAATACACTTCTTTCTTTTATAAATTACCCAACCTCAGGTATCCCTTTGTAAGCCACACAGATGGACTAAGACAGCGGTTCCATGCATGCTTAAGTGTATACAAGTGTCTCTGTGTTTATGTGTTTGTGTTTTTATGTGTGTCTAAGGAGTTAAGAGTATGTGTGTTTTGTGTTTCTGTGTGTCCATGATAATACACAAGACAGAAAAGGAGTTCCCATGGGGAAATGAGAACATGTTGGGAAGCCTCTCCTGGTATCCAGCCTCAGCCTCTGCCCTCGCCATGGGTCACAGAACAGACCAGTGCCATCGATGAGGTCACACAGTAGAGCTAGGATCTTAGCGACCATGGGGAGCTCAGTGTCCACTCTGGCTGGGGCCAGCTGGAGGCCTTCAGTACAGCCCCAGCCAACTCTCACTGAACAGCTGGAGCACCGACACCCTGGGCACTCATTTCAAATCATGAAATGCTACTTCACAGATCACAGGGGAGAACAGTCACCCACCGATGGGACCACCCTCAGCTTGACCAGCCCTGAGTCCACTGAGGAGAGTGTGGAAGTGTTCTGGCCAGGTAGGTGAAAAGAAAGGCCTGGAAGGTCAGCCAGCTGTGCTCCCTGGGAAGGAAGCCCTGATGGGAAGGGACAGTGCCAGGTTGCCTCCTGATACTGTTACCAAATGGTTGTGTTGACCATAAACATAGATGTGGAGGGAAAGGAAATTGATATTTATGGGACACTTGGTGTGACTGAGGCTGTTATGAGTATATAAGGTGTTTTCAGGGGATATGAGAATGAAAATGTAAAATGTTTATAATTATGTATTTATTTTAATGTGTATTTGAGAAAACAACACGTCCATCCTGTGATTTCAGCAGTGAAATAAAAAATTCCTTTATAACAAAATGATGAAAGTTAATCTAGAACATCAATTTGAAGACCGCGGGGACGTGTCTGTGGGCAGCACCTAAGTGTCACACCAGCTCTGGGGGCCCAATGGCTCCACCACTCATTCAAACTCCATGCCTCTCTTTCCTACTCTGTTGAATGGGAATCCTAACAATATAATTTCTTAGGGTTGTTTTGAATATTAAACTTGGCAAGCACTTCCATGGCAAGAGGGACACAGTAAGTGTTGAAGGAGATAGTGAGATGCCCCCTCGGGAAGGTGAAGACAGGTCACAAATGTTGAAGAGGATGGTGGGTCTGGGTGGCTTGGCCAAGGCACTTTGCATGTGTTGTTTTTTAAATGGGCTTTACTGAGGTGTCTTTTATGCACACAGACTTCAGCAATTTTAAATGCACAATTTAAAGAAGTTTGACACATGTACATTTGTGGAACCACCAACACAGTCATGATAAAGAAGATTTTTCAAAACCCCTAAAAGTCCCCTTGTGCCTTATTATGACCAGTCTCCTCTCACCCCGTCCCCAGCTCTGGGCAACCACTGAGCTGTTCTCTGTTGCTAAAAATTTGCCTTTTCTAGAATGTCATCTGAATAAAATCATATACGACATGGACTCTTTTTTTTTTTTGTTCACATTCTCTTATGACTACATGGCCTTTTTAATTGGCTTCTTTTATTTAGCATAATGCATTCAGGATTCATCCGTATTGTTGCACGTCTCAGTGGTTCATGGATTTAACAGGTTGCATCATATGGATACACCTCAGTCAGCTTACCTATTCCCCAGTTGATGGTCTTTTGCTTGGTGATTACTCTAATACATTATTTGATCCTTATCATCATATCCCTAATGTGTATATAACTCTGTTATTCACCATTTAATGGTCTTTCTCAGTTGAGTCAAGGATTTGGTGATTGCATTCATACATTATTCAATCATTACCACACCCTATGAAGCAGGCATTATCACCATCTTCATTTTTTCAGGAAATGGGCAGAGGGGGCGGTGTTTGCTCAAGAGCTCCCAGAGCCTGTACCCTTTCAGAGTCTGCGGCTCCTGAAGGTAGATGTGGCATTGATCCCTTAAAGGGCACTGATGACAATGTCCTTCTGCTTCTCAGGGACTATACAGAGAGAAGGGTCGTCCCCACGGCCGGGGCCTGCCATTCCCCGGGAGGAGGGCCTCTACTTCGCTGCCAGGGACCGGGGGATGCGGGACTGGAGCAGCTCCCCATCCTCAGAGTCCTCCGAGTACCAGTCCTACTCCCAGTACCAGTCGTGCTGCTCCTGCATGTGCGATGAGGACAATGCTGCTCCGCAGAGTGTGTGTGCCTTCTACACGCACGTGCAGACTGTGCGGGGTGTGGCTGTGGCCTGGGAGACGGAGGCCGGCTTCGAGCCGGTCACCAGGAAGCCCCGCATCCATGAAGCCCAGTTCATCAAGAGGCAGAGGTGGAACGGCTCCTCCTTCGAAATGGCTTCCAACACCGATATGCGCTGGGACCTGGAAGCCTGCAAGAGCAACTGCAGCCCCGAGCCCGAGGACATAGACCTGCTGGAGTGCTGCCTGCAGGAGCTGCGGGAGCCGCCGGACTGGCTGGTCACCACCAACTACGGGGTGCGCTGCGTGGCCTGCTGCAGGGTCTTGCCCTCCCTGGACGCTCTGCTGGAGCACGCCCAGCATGGCATCCGGGAGGGCTTCAGCTGTCAGATCTTTTTTGAGGAGATGCTGGAGAGAAGGCGGGCTCAGGGCCAAGCACATGACCAACAGCTGGAGGAGGAGCAGAGTCCTTCAGACAACAGCGAATGTTCCCGGCCCCAGGGTGAGGTGCTCTCAGCACAGCAGCAGGAGAAGCAGTGAGCCAGAGGGGAGATACCCAACCCTGCCCTCACCTCCAGGGCCTGGGACTGCTCCTTCCCCAGCCAGCAGTATCAGAGCCACTAGGGCAGGGAGAGAGGACCAGGGTCAGGGGGAAGGAAAGGCATGGAGTGTAGAGCAAGGAGGGCCAGGAGACTGGAAGGAACCCCCTTCCTGCCCTAGGCACAGCATCTCCACCAGAGTCCATTTCAAAACCCAAACGAGAGGGCTTTGAGTGTTTCTGATGGCAGGCACAACATCTGAAACCCACAAACGCATGGCCAGAGGGATTTCTATTTTTGCCGGTGGATCAGGCAGGTCCACACTTGCTAAGTATATGTGGGTCACAGGACAGCCAACTGCAAATTACTCTCCAGCCCTATTTTTTTCACTATTACAAATCTGTCATATGCCCTAGTTCTATGTCTTATGTTATTGGGATTAAACTTGAATAACACAAAATTGAATGCAGTGACTAACTGAGTGAACCATGCTGTCATATTGGACACATGGGAAGTTGCCATTTCCATAGGTTACAAACTAGCAGAAACACCTGGAGACAGGCAGCTTCTCAAGGTAGAGCAGGAGGCTGGGGATGTCCTTCTGACCTATGAGTTCATCTATGTCAACTATACATTTTTAAATGGTGCCATGAAATTCATCTTCATCCTTCTCCCTGTCTCAGGGGGCTGTGTTCATTCAAGAAAAATTAATTGTGGACCACTGTGTGTTTGAGATGCTGATGGAAGACATAGTCCAGCCTCTGTTGCTTCCAGTGAGAGACAGTTAGAATGGGCAATTGCAAGGCAAGGGGATGAATGACATCAAGGAGGTTTGGGGAGCCTAGATGAGGGGCCCCAAGTTCAAGCTGTTTGATCAGGATAAAGAACTTTCCAAAAAAGATGATGCTCCCGGGGGCTTAAAGGAAAAGCTAGACCAGGGTTCCTCAACCAGCACTGTTGACCCTGCATGCTAATTATTTGCCGCGGGGGCTGTCCTGTCTGCTGCAAGATGTTTACTGGCATCCCTGGCCTCTACCCATCCGATTCCAGCAGCATCCCCTGCCCCACAGTTGTGAAAATCACAAATGTCTTCAGAAATTAACAGATGTTCCCTAGGGACAAAATCACCCCTGGTTGAGAATCACTGAGCTAGACAGGAACAAGGCTGTGAGGAGAAGAAACAGACATGATACATTTGGGGAATTGCTAGCTACTTCATCTGGCTGGAATGCTGGGGGTATTTGTCTCTCATATAATTTATAAAGATGTGCCAGACATTGAAGTGGACATGGGGAATAAGTGAACAAAGGGAAAAAGGCAAACATGGATGCTGCTCTGTGGAGCTTATAGCCTGAGGGCATGCATGTAAAATAATTATGAAAGTTCCCATTTCATGACCTAAAGGGTCCTGTGTGGCCGGGCCTTTGCTACTTTCTCCACACCATGTCTTAGCATTCTGTGCCTCACTCACCATGCTCCAACCACATGGGCCCCTTTCTTTCCTTAAAGGATTCAAGTGTTTCTGCTTCAGGGCCTTTGCCCTTGCTGTCTTCCCCAAGTAGAACGCACCCTTGTCTGTGTCTCTTCTGGCTGTCCCCTTGCTCATCTTTGAGGTTGCAGCTTAAATATCTCTTTTTCAGAGGGTCCTTTCCCAATCACGCTGCCTTAGCATATGCCTTATTCTAAGTGTGGATGGTTTTAAGAAGTGACATGATCAGATTTGTATTTTAAAAAGCTCACTCCACAGTGTGTGGGATATGGATTGGGATAGCAGCAAAAGAAGAAGATGAGAAGTGGAGAGATCAATTAGGAGGCTGTTGAGGAAGTCCAGGCCAGGAATGGTGGTGACTTGGACCAGGCTATCCCAAGCCAAGAAGGAGAAGAATGGATGCCTTCAAGACTTATTTGGGGAATAGAATCCAAAGGCCTTGGGGAAGGGTGCAGGTGGGGGTAGAAGAAAGGGGTTTGTCATGGTGGATTCCCAAGTTCCTAGGAGGAGCAAATGTGGGTGGCTGTGCATTAACTGATATGGGGAAATTTGGAGGGTGATTTCCATATGAGTGTGTGTGTGCCAGTGTTTGTGTGTGAGCATGCATGTCTGTGTTGGACATGCATATCAGCATGTGTCTGCACGTAGACATACAGGCATAAGTGCTGGGAGGCAGGTGACAGAGGTGAGTTGAGACATGGTCAGTTCTAAATGCCAATGGCACATTTGAGCAGAGATGTTGAGTGGGAAGTTCATGTTATTTAGAAGATAAGTCTAGATTGGAAATGTAAATGAGAAAGTTAACTGCAAATAAATGGTACCATATTGAAAAACCACAACAGTGGATGGATGACACTAACTAGGGTGCTGGGGTAGAGTTAGGGTGAGCCCTGTGAAGTAGGGAGGAATGGAGTGAGGAGCATTTCTTAGGAATTTTCTTCAAAGTCAACAAAAATAAGAAAAGATAATTTTCAGGAGTGGTGAGCAGTGTCGAATGCTAAGGAGAGTTGGAGTGAGCTGAGGACACAGCGCATTTCATTTGATGCACGAGGTTGCTGACAGTTCTGAGGAGAGCAGTCTCAGCAGCTGGGAAGGGCAGAGGTCAGACGGGCAATGTTCAGCAGCAGACATGAAGCAAACTGCTGGAGGTAAGCATTGGACATCTCTGCAGGCAAGTATGATTAGAAAGGAAAGCAACAATGGTTGTAGCTGGACAAAGATGGCAGAGAGACCAAGTTTATGCCAATGGAAATGATCCAATAGAAAGGAAGAGACAGATAAGGTGGAAAAATGGGGAAATCTAAGGAGAGGAGCCAAGCAGGAGAGAGGGGGCTGAGCTGACATGGAGAAACCGGCCTTGAAAAGGGCGGCTCCGAGCTCCTTGTTGCATGCAGATGGGCAGTTAGTCACATAGGGCTTTGGGGTCAAAATTAGGGAACTTGACCATCCATCCTGAAAACTACAAGGAGCTCTGGAGAAATCTGAAGTCAGATTTGCGTTTGTGAAGATCACTCTGGCGAAAAGGGTCAAGAGTGGATGACAGCCAGCATCGTTGGTGACAAGGGGTTCAGCTAAAGTGTGGGTGGCAGGGTGAATTCAGGGGAAATTTAGAAGATTGAACCATAAAGTGTGGCTAGTGTGTGATGAGGATGGTGAGAGGAAGGAATCCAGAATGACTGCTAGGGTTTTTTTCTGGGTGGCAAAATGTCGGAGCCATTTGCAGACAATAGAGAAGGAGAAGGTTTGCTTGGGATGCTGATAAACCCACCTTTGAACAAGCTGAGCTTGAGACAGAAACATTCAGAAGGGTGCTACTCGTAAGGGTGTGGAGCTCAGAAGAGAGATCATCTGCCTGTATGTGGTGAGCTGTGGCCATGGTGCTTTCCATGGGCTTCATGTGGGATGCATTCCTTCTGCTGGTGCAAGTGCAGCAGGAAGCCATGAGGTCATCTTAGAAAAGGCATCAGAGGTGGGGATGATAACTTAACAGCCTTCTAAAGGTGCAGCAGAGGCCACAAACCTTTTGAATTTGGTGTGAAAGGAGCTTGAGGATCAGCAGGAAGTAAAAACAGCCCCAGTTTTATGAAACTCTTCTCGGAAGAGCTATCTGGTGTTTGTGGGGGCTTCATAGGCAGGTAAAGTCCAAGGGACACTGTAAGGGAAGGAGAGTCTCCTGAGCCAGAAATAGTGAGTACTAATGAGGAGAATAGTTTTATTTTTATTTTTATTTATTTATTTTTTAATTTTATTATTATTATACTTTAAGTTTTAGGGTACATGTGCACAATGTGCAGGTTAGTTACATATGTATACATGTGCCATGCTGGTGTGCTGCACCCATTAACTCATCATTTAGCATTAGGTATATTTCCTAAAGCTATCCCTCCCCCCTCCCCCAACCCCACAACAAAGGGAATATCACCACAGATCCTACAGAAATACAAACTACCATCAGAGAATACTACAAACACCTCTACTCAAATAAACTAGAAAATCTAGAAGAAATGGATAAATTCCTCGACAAATACACCCTCCCAAGACTAAACCAGGAAGAAGTTGAATCTCTGAATAGACCAATAACAGGCTCTGAAATTGTGGCAATAATCAATAGCTTACCAACCAAAAAGAGTCCAGGACCAGATGGATTCACAGCCGAATTCTACCAGAGGTACAAGGAGGAACTGGTACCATTCCTTCTGAAACTATTCCAATCAATAGAAAAAGAGGGAATCCTCCCTAACTCATTTTATGAGGCCAGCATCATCCTGATACCAAAGCCGGGCAGAGACACAACCAAAAAAGAGAATTTTAGACCAATATCCTTGATGAACATTGATGCAAAAATCCTCAATAAAATACTGGCAAACCGAATCCAGCAGCACATCAAAAAGCTTATCCACCATGATCAAGTGGGCTTCATCCCTGGGATGCTAGGCTGGTTCAATATACGCAAATCAATAAATGTAATCAAGCATATAAACAGAACCAAAGACAAAAACCACGTGATTATCTCAATAGATGCAGAAAAGGCCTTTGACAAAATTCAACAACTCTTCATGCTAAAAACTCTAAATAAATTAGGTATTGATGGGACATATCTCAAAATAATAAGAGCTATCTATGACAAACCCACAGCCAATATCATACTGAATGGGCAAAAACTGGAAGCATTCCCATTGAAAACTGGCACAAGACAGGGATGCCTTCTCTCACCATGCCTATTCAACATAGTGTTGGAAGTTCTGGCCAGGGCAATTAGGCAGGAGAAGGAAATAAAGGGTATTCAATTAGGAAGAGAGGGAGTCAAATTGTCTTTGTTTGCAGATGACATGATTGTATATCTAGAAAACCCCATCGTCTCAGCCCAAAATCTCCTTAAGCTGATAAGCAACTTCAGCAAAGTCTCAGGATACAAAATCAATGTACAAAAATCACAAGCATTCTTATACACCAATAACAGACAAACAGAGAGCCAAATCATGAGTGAACTCCCATTCACAATTGCTTCAAAGAGAATAAAATACCTAGGAATCCAACTTACAAGGGACATGAAGGACCTCTTCAAGGAGAACTACAAACCACTGCTCAAGGAAATAAAAGAGGATACAAACAAATGGAAGAACATTCCATGCTCATGGGTAGGAAGAATCAATATTGTGAAAATGGCCATACTGCCCAAGGTAATTTATAGATTCAATGCCATCCCCATCAAGCTACCAATAACTTTCTTCACAGAATTGGAAAAAACTACTTTAAAGTTCATATGGAACCAAAAAAGAGCCTGCATTGCCAAGTCAATCCTAAGCCAAAAGAACAAAGCTGGAGGCATCACACTACCTGACTTCAAACTATACTACAAGGCTACAGTAACCAAAACAGCATGGTACTGGTACCAAAACAGAGATATAGATCAATGGAACAGAACAGAGCCCTCAGAAATAACGCCACATATCTACAACTATCTGATCTTTGACAAACCTGAGAAAGACAAGCAGTGGGGAAAGGATTCCCTATTTAATAAATGGTGCTGGGAAAACTGGCTAGCCATATGTAGAAAGCTGAAACTGGATCCCTTCCTTACACCTTATGCAAAAATTAATTCAAGATGGATTAAAGACTTACGTGTTAGACCTAAAACCATACAAACCCTAGAAGAAAACCTAGGCATTACCATTCAGGACATAGGCATGGGCAAGGACTTCATGTCTAAAACACCAAAGCAATGGCAACAAAAGCCAAAATTGACAAATGGGATCTAATTAAACTAAAGAGCTTCTGCACAGCAAAAGCAACTACCATCAGAATGAACAGGCAACCTACAAAATGGGAGAAAATTTTCACAACCTACTCATGTGACAAAGGGCTAATATCCAGAATCTACAATGAACTCAAACAAATTTACAAGAAAAAAACAAACAACCCCATCAAAAAGTGGGTGAAGGACATGAACAGACACTTCTCAAAAGAAGACATTTATGCAGCCAAAAAACACATGAAAAAATGCTCACCATCACGGGCTATCAGAGAAATGCAAATCAAAACCACAATGAGTTACCATTTCACACCAGTTAGAATGGCAATCATTAAAAAATCAGGAAACAACAGGTGCTGGAGAGGATGTGGAGAAATTGGAACGCTTTTACACTGTTGGTGGGACTGTAAACTAGTTGAACCATTGTGGAAGTCAGTGTGGCGATTCCTCAGGGATCTAGAACTAGAAATACCATTTGACCCAGCCATCCCATTACTGGGTATATACCCAAAGGACTATAAATCATGCTGCTATAAAGACACATGCACACGTATGTTTATTGCGGCACTATTCACAATAGCAAAGACTTGGAACCAACCCAAATGTCCAACAATGACAGACTGGATTAAGAAAATGTGGCACATATACACCATGGAATACTATGCAGCCATAAAAAATGATGAGTTCATGTCCTTTGTGGGGACATGGATGAAATTGGAAATCATCATTCTCAGTAAACTATCGCAAGAACAAAAAACCAAACACCGTATATTCTCACTCATAGGTGGGAATTGAACAATGAGAACACACGGACACAGAAAGTTTTATTTTTAAAAAATCAGTATGGGAGAGAATTGAAATGAGGCATAATATCTAAGCTCTGAAATTTCAGCCTGTAAGAGACAAGTGTTTTTAAGTGCTAAATTCTGTATTCTAAGGGCAAAGCATCATTTTAAACACTTTGTGAATAGTAAATCATTCAGTGCTCTCCACAGTCCAATGAGGTGGATCCTACTATTGTCCGTGTTCTGTTGGTGAGTAAGCAAAGACCCTACAAAGGTCATATGGCTGGTGTACACCAGCTTGGCTCCAAGCCTATGTTCTAATTGTCACACAGAGAGGCAAACTTCAGTGTAAAGACAGATGCAAGGTATTTAGGAAAGCAAATATGTCAACTGCACAGGCTGCATTTTCTTTAGATTAAGTAGCAGCAGCTGCAGATGAAGAGAAACATGATGAGTGTTCAGGAAAAATGAAAGATGACAGCAACCTCGGGTAAGCAAACTATTAATGTAAAGGATAACTTCAGCTGACACGGATGGAGAAGAAGAGAATAACATTATTCTTAAGGTTGTGACTTGTTCTTTAACTATAACTGAAACTCAACTGAGTTAAACATTCATTTGTGGTTTAGACATAATTTTGCAGATACCTGGGACCTCACAGACAGGAGCAAGGGAAATCCTTCCAGAGGTGTCAGGGGACCTCAAACATTTTAAATTGTGAACCACTTTAAACCCTTTATTTTCCCAAACTATAGAAGATGGAGCTTATGTTATAAAACCTACATAAACCTCATAACAAAGCCTGAAAAAGATGGCACTAAAAAAGTAGGCAATATGTCGATCTCACTTATTAACACAAAATAATAGCTAATCTAGTTTAACAGACTACAAAAACAATAATTCACCATGACTGGCCTGGCATGGTGGACTCACGCCTGTAATCCCAGCACTTTGGGAGGCCAAGGGCAGGTGGATCGCTTGAGCCTAGCAGTTTGAGACAAGCCTGGGCAAAATGGCAAAACCCCATCTCTACAAAAAACAAAAAATACAAAAATTAGCTAGGCATGGTGGTGCGCATCTGTAGTCCCAGCTACTTAGCAGACTGAGGTGGAAGATGACTTGAGCCTCGGAGACTGAGGCTGCAGTGAGCCATGATTGTGCCACTGCACTCCTATAGCCTAGGCAACAGAGTGAGACTGTCTCAAAAATAAAGAGTATTTCATCATAACTCAATTTGGGTCATCTCTTGACTAAAGATAGTTAAAAATTATTAATTCTAACAGTGCTTTGTATTGAAAGAAAATTCTTATGATTTTCTCAGTAGATATTAAAAACAATCAGAAATAAACCAATGCACTTATGGTCAGTTGATTTTTCAAGAGTGCCAAGATAATTTAATGGGGGAAAGAATAATCTTTTCAGCAAATTGTGCTGGGACAACTGGATATCTGTATGCAAAAAGGTGACATTGGATCCCTACCTCACAACATATAAAAAAAAAAAAACCCTAAAAATCAAAGACTTAACTGTAGTAGTCAAAACTATAAAACTCTTAGAGAAAACATAGATGTAAATTCTGAGAATTGAAAACATATGTCCACATAAAAACTTGTACATGAATATTCACAGCAACATTATTCATAATACACATAATTCACCTAATACAGAAAGTAAAAACAACCTACATGTTTATCAGATGATGAAAGAATAAACAAAATATAGCATATCCATACAATGGAATATAGTTCAGCCATAAAATGAAGAACTGATCCCATGTTATATACGGATGAACCTTGAAAACCTGTGAAGCGAAAGAAGCCAGACACAAAAGGCAACATAACGTATAATTTCATGTCAATGAAATATTCAAATAGGCAAATTTATAGAGACAGAAAGCAGATTAGTGGTTGCCAGGGATTCAGGGGAATGGGAGGAATGGGACAGACTGCTAACAGGTATGGGATTTCTTCTTAGGGTGATGAAAACGTTCTGGAATTAGTGGCAATGGTTACACAACTTTGTGAATATGCCATAAACCACTGAATTGTAGTATGTGAATTGTATCTCAATTTAAAAGACTTATAATAAGTACAACAACCATTCCTGTAATAAGTTCCTTAGAAACTAAGAATAAGATTTTTTTCAGATAACATAGAATATCTCAAACAAAATAGCAAAATATCTACATGTACTTCCATTAAAATCAGATAAAAAATGTCATTTATTACAATTTTTATTTGACATTGTTCTAGAAGTTACAACCAATGCATAAGATGTGAAACAGAAATGTTGTATACAATAGACAGAAAATAATTTTCAGAAAAAGATAATATACTTTGAAAGTGCAAATGAATTAATTAAAATTATGGAAAAAATAATCAAAGGATCAATATATAAGATGGATTTCAAGAACTTCCTTTTATATTAGACATGACTAATTAGGAAATAACATGGAAAATATTCCATCCACTAGATAAGTAGCTATTAACAGAAATATTGCAAGAGTGATGAAATGTCTAAGTGATTATTTTTAGTTAGTAATTGTTGATAAATTTTATTTCTTCTGTAGTTTTTATTATTTTATATTTTCTATATTGATCAAGTATAGCTTTTAGAATAAAAAGGCAATAAAACATTTAATCAAGCATTACTTTGTGTGCACCTATACTCTTAGCTACTGGGGAGGCTGAGGTGGGAGGATGGCTAGTACCAAAGAGGTAGAGGCTGCAGTGAGCTATGATTGCAACACTGCACTCCAGCCTGGGTGACAGAGCAAGACCCTCTCTCTAAAAAAAACAAACAAAATATTACCTTAGTAAGAAGTGACTTTGGGGACCTCCTCAGTTCACACTTGTAGTCTGCAAGCCATATTGTAAGAACCCCAGCTCTTAACTTCTTAATCCTTAGTTCTTCAGAATTAAATTAGCTTTAATTTTAAGAGCACTTTATAATAGATGATGGCCCAGCCAACTCAAGGCAATTAAATTACATCATTCTTTTTGAGATGTGTCCTCATTGTTTACCAAGGGTGAAAGCTATGAGAGGAAGATCTTGAGAGAGAACCAGGGTGGGAACTCAGTTGACAGAGGGTAAAGATGATGAGTCTGGGGACGGAAACAAGATGGCATCAACAGGACCATACAAGAAGAAGTGGAAGTTGAAGAGAATGAAGGAAAGATGAAGTTCAATAAGGCAGATAGAGGTGGGAAGAGAGAAGTGGCAGGTGTTAAGAATAACATGTAATGCTTTGACCTGAAATGTGACATCACAATGGGGTCCTGGAAGGGGGATTGTGGGGGAAAACGAGGGTCATGTCAAAATGGTGGAGTCCTGACAGACCTTTCATGAGAATTTCTGTGGTGCTCAGTAATGGGTTAAATTGTGTCCTCTCAAAATTCGTATGTTGAGGGCTGGGCATGGTGGCTCACGCCTGTAATCCCAGCACTCTGGGAGGCCGAGGTGGGCGGATCACTTGAGGTCAGGAGTTTGAGACTAGCCTGGCCAACATGGCGAAACCCCATCTCTACTAAAAATACAAAAATTAGCTGGGCATGGTGGTGGGTGCCTGTAGTCCCAGCTACTTGGGAGGCTGAGGTGGGAGAATCACTTGAACCTGGGAGGCGGAGGTTGCAGTGAGCTGAGATCATGCCACTGCACTCCTGCCTGGGTGACAGAGCGAAACTCTGTCTCAAAAAATCATATGTTGAATCCTAATCCCTAGCACCTCAAAATGTGACTGTATTTGGAGTTAAGGCTTTTAAAGAGGTAAATTCATATGGGAGTGCCTAATCCAATATGACCAGAGTCTTTATAAGAAGAGGAGATTAGGACCCAGGCACACACAGAGAGAAGACTGCATGAAGACACAAGGAGAAGATGGCATCTGTGAGTGGAAAAAAGAAGCTCAGAAGAAACCAACCCAGTGACACCTTGATCTCCAACTGTGTCACAGAACTGTGAGACAATACGTTTTTTATAGTTTAAGCCACCTGGCCTGTGGATTACGGCAACCTGAAAAAATGAATATAGATTCTGAAGAGCAGGAGACAGAGACAGGAAGACAGCAGCCACAAAGGCTCAGGGAGGTCCACATTTCAGGTAGGGAGGCTTCCCAGGTGGGGTCCTTAGGGGCACAAGCACGTGGTGAGCACTCTGTCCACATTTGTTGATGTAAATGCTGGTAATAGCATAAATACATTTGGGAGCAAGCAACTCACTTTTGGTGAACACAGGGTGGTCTCTGGCCTGAGCACAGAGGGTGATGTGGGCACATGTCAGAAGGTTTTGCAGAAAGAGTCAGGCGTGTGGGGATGTGGTGCTACTTTCAGCCTCAAATGCTTCCCTCCCTGTGACCAGAAGGTCCCACAGAAAAATGAGCTGGGCACAGGGACAAAGAGGATGTGCTGAGCTTTAGAAAAGACAGAGTAAAGAGATTCATGAAAATGTCAGGTCTACAGCCCACAGCCTGGGTACCAGAAGCCAGAGCTCATGTGTGCATGTGTGTGCATACATTTGTGTGTGTGTGTGTGTGTGTGTGTGTGTGTGTGTGTGTGTTACCTGCTGCTCTGCACTGGGCCATGCTAACACCTAGCTCGGGCCAAGCACAAGGACCCTGTGAAGAGGCTCACAAATGACTCCTGACTCCTGAGGATTTATGTACCATCTGCTGCTGGACTTACTGCAGTCCCTCCAAGCACACCCTCAAGGACTACTGAGCTGGGGTGCCATCAGTCTTGGGAAAAGAGAGTGAGAATTCCCTAAAGCAATGTTTGGCAAACTTGACTACTATTCTTTTCAAAGGCCAAGAAACATTCCTATGGACCCTGCCTTGACTTCAGTTATTGCTGTGGAAATAAAGCAGCACAAACACAAACAGCTAAGCTTATAGTTGCTTTACAAGTGCAAAACAAAAACCAAATGTGTAAATTAAACACAATTGCAAACAGCAATAAAACTCAAACTAACAACATTAGTTTAATGTGACTATGGGTGTTTGTGAAACCGATTTGCCTCTTCTGTGAATATGGAACTGAATGCCATTCAGATTCTCCTGATGGGTGATGGGCTCTCATGCCAAGGGCTGGGAAGTGAGTCAGAGCCTTACAGGAGTCGCATGCTGATAGAGCTTGATGCCTTTACCTCCACAGGAGTCAAACTGCCACGTGTGTCAGACCAGCTCATACTAGACTTTGGTTACAATCCATTGCTTCTCTAACACTTTTAGTCTAGACTTGCTCCAAGCTGGGAGTCTTTGTGTCTCTGTAGAGGACTTACAGAGGTCTTATTCCCTTATTTCTAAGTTATTAAGAATGCAGAATGGGAATTTTCCTGAAGCCTAAGTCTTCTGCTTGGATTCACAAAACATCAGAACTGCATTTACTGTAACATCTTTGACATGGGGAGGAAGCAATTTATAATTAATAGTACCTTACAATAGATGAAATAATGTAATATGTATGATACTGATCAATAATTACATGATGCCTATGAGCAGCATATATATAAAAACACTGAGATATCATAAAAGTAATAAACAAGTTTTAGTTTTAAGTTTTACTTCGAAAAAAATGAAAACTTACAGAAGTTGCAAGAATAGTACAATGAATTCCATATGCTCTTTATCTAGATCTACTGACTTTCCCATTTGCCTCTCTCTCCCTGTGTCTCTCTCTCTTTCCATATATATATTATACAATACATATTATAGATAAACTTGTTATTTTTGCTGAACCATTTAAGAGTAATTTACAGTCATTCTATTAACACCAGATACTTCAGTGTGGATCGCCTAAGAACAAGTGTAAAGGCATTCTCTTTCATAATCATGCTCAGGAAATGTATGTAGTATACAATATAGTCCATTTGCCAGTCATACCAATAATGTCCTTTTTAGCATTTTTTTCCTGATCCCACATCAAGGATCTAGGATCATACGTTTCACTTAGTTGATAAGTCTTTTTAACCTCTTTTACTCTGAACAGTTCTTCAGTCTGTCTTTTGCTCACTGAATGTTCAATAAAAGTAGAAGGCATAGACTGAGATTTTTAGTCTTATACATCAGTGGTCAGTTCTAAGATGTTTTCTTTGTGGTCAGTTTTATAGACATCTGTTTGGTTCCTAGTCCCTCCCTCATTTCAATCACCTCCATCTGGAGCCTTCTAGGAATCTGGGGCCATGTCTTTCCGTTTCCTGGGAGCTGGTCCAGGTTGCTGCATCCAGCCGGCCTGCAGAGCCCTTGGCATCAGCTCACAATCACGTCCCTCTATTGGGGTCACCAATGAGGTTGGTTAGAAGCTATTTCTATCTAGACATCCTGTCAGGCCTATAGCTTCACATTTCTGTACATTTCGGGAAAAACAGTGTAGTCCATACTCCTTCCCCAGTTGTGCAGGGAGAAGACGGTGCTGAAGGTTTCATGTAAACTCTGCCCCAGGGGCCTTAGGCATATCTTTCTGATTGGATGGCTGCATTGTCTGTAACCACGATCTCTCCTCTTTCTTATCCTTTCCCTGCTCTCTCAGTCACAGCTGATAACTGCTTTTCTCTAGAGTGAACTCTCTTTTAGTGGCAATTCAAGCATGTAGCTGACTGCTTTTAGCTGTAAAATGCCTGTGAACAATAGGGAGGAGCAAATATTCAAAATTACTTTTAGAAACCTAGACTGAAAAAGTAACACTTGGAAATCTGCTAAACACCTTAGAAGAGGGGTGTTTCGTTTTGCTTGATGGTCTTAGTTTAGGGATATATTTGCTGTGTGCAAGGTCCATTACAAAACCATGCTGTACTCTTCCATCTCTGACCCAGGTTCTAACAAACAATTGGATAATGAAAGAGGAAAAGCCCCGGCCTGCCAGGTGATAGCAGAATGCACTTGTTGGAGAAAATCTGGATTTCTAAGATTCTTTCAGTGGCAACTGGTAGAATACAGGATTAGTTGAGTAGGCTCTCCATATAGCTTAGTGTCCACAGGAATCTGGATCAACTTTAGAATGGTTTGAACACCCTCTTCTTATGAGGTAAACAAAAAATAGAATTGGATTGTATTATTCTTCCAATTCAGTACAAAGTAAGACCTGATAGAGCCAAGGTATGGACAAAGAAGCCTGTGAAGGATTTTCAAATGGTCCTAAGCTTGTGAATGAGTGAGCAGGCAGCAGAGCTAAGAAAACCATTTGGAAGGCCTTTGCCAATGTAGTCCAGAAGAGCTGAAAGGCCAAGTCTTATCCGGGTCACTGGCTCTGTCTCCCATGAGGGCTGAGTATATTCCCTTGTTCCTGTGTTCATGCAGCAAAGGTTTTACCAGGATGATCAGTTAGATTATATGGGAAGCTGAAAAGTACCAGCAGTGCACACAGCTGTAAAATCAGCACAATGTTACCTGTAGCAGAAAAGTACAAGAAAAGCACTTTCTAGCCTCAAATCTTTGGCACAACCCCAGTTTGGTAAAGACGAAGCAAGTCAAGGGTGGCAGGCTGAATTTCTGCTCTGTTTTGCAATGAGAGTTGGATATTTAGCAATATACAACGACCAAAGCAGGAGTTGCCTCCTCCAAGGGTGGCTGACACATCTAAGGGGTCCCTTCTGCTTTTCACCAACTGGGAGAGTAAATTGAGACCAGCAGGTTGAGGTGGGAGGTTACCAAGGATACCAAATGGCCCTGCCACATCTCTAGCTGCTCTTAGTACAGCCATGTCAAGACGCCATTTTACATGTGTCACCTTCACTTGACAAATGAAATTCAGAGAGGTTGTGCTGCTCCAGGACCCAAGGTTGTTGCCCAGCCAGAGCGGGTCACAGATCCACTTTCAGAACCAGTGCTCCTCTTCAGACATCCTCCCTCAGTCTGCCAAACACTGCCCCAGGCTCCAGGGCTGAGTCAACAGTCTGCAGTCAGAGTCCAAGTTCCCAGTTCAGACATTTGGTGCCCCACAGAACCTTGTACGGGTCCCTGGTCTTCTTTGAGCCTGAATTTACTAATTTGTAAAATGAGGCCTAGGACATTATGTGGATGGGACGTGAGGCTCGTTTGCTCATGTATAAAATTGGTTTCCAAACTCTGGTCTGGAAGCCTCACTTGGTTCTAGTTTGCATTCCTGGGCTGCAGGAGTCCATCTGACCCCAGTTCTAGTCCTCACTTCTTGTCCTTGGCATCATAGCCAAGTACCTTTGTTGCCAACTCACTATCGGGTCCTCAGGCCCTTCCACCAACCCAAATTATAGATGGGGCTGCTTTCTCCAGCCTGGCTGCCTTGATGGTCAGTCCAGTCCCTGCAGGGCCCTGGTCCACAGATGAGTCTCCTAGCTGGAGGATCCCATGGGGTCCAGAGACCTCTGGAAGTGCCTGGGGTTCAGAGATGTCACAGAGCCTTTGCACCCACTGGCCTGGGGTGCCTGAAGAGGATGGTCCCTCTGGGGAATGCCCTGGGGCTCACACTAGTGGGCTGCACCCTCTTTCCATGCCACCCACACCTCCTCACTCCCTTAGAGGGAAGGAGATGAGGGCCCTGTCTCCTCCTCCTCCTACAGGGACCCACTCCCAACCAGGGCCCACCTGCTAGCTGCTGCTACCCCTCACTGGAACTCCACAAAGACCTCTCCTGATAGACACACACAGAATAGACCTAACATGTGCTTTTCTTGCTTGGAGATGGGTTAGGCTCAGACCCTAAGTTTAGAACAGTGGCAAAGAGACCAGGCATTGGCTCAGAGTGACAGGGCTCTGTGGTTGTGTGACATGGGTCTCTTTCATGTGGCTGCTTCTGCTTCCTTATGTATAGTAATAATAGTAGTGTTCACTGACACCCGTGAATCGGGTGCTGGGGCAATGCGTTAATGGGAATGGTGTAACTTGGTCTTCCTAAACACCCCAGAAGGGGTGGGCCCATTTCCCCATTTTACAGGTGCAGGAAACTGAGGCACATGGAGATTACAGAACTGTCCCAGGCCTGACCGCGGCGGGGTTCAGTAGCATCTGGAAAATCACTTTAGCCCAGGCCTGGCTGAGGCACTGTAAATGGGCACTTTTGTTAATAGTTTCCACATATTCTGGGCTGGTCTGTGTGGACCCTCTCAGTTTTCCAAGGGTTAGCACCTCGGACCCCGCCCTCCATTTCAGGGCAGCAGAAGGGGCTTCTCCCCCCTCAGCTGCTTGTTGGCTCCCGAGGGTCCTGTGGAGTGAGCGCAGGAGGCCCACGACCAGCAGGTGAGTCTCAGGCCAGAGGTTCCCTGGACGCGCCCCCACCCCCTGGCTCCCAGATCCCGCCTTCCCTTAGGAATAAGTGCATCTGTGGGCAGAGGACCGCCGGTCGCACTGCAGCTGTGTGTTCTGTGAGTCACCAGCGATCACCTTGCAGAAACTCAGTTTTCTCATCTGGGAAATGGGGCTGTTGAAAGGAGACGCCACAGATCCTGGAGCGAACCGATCGCGCGGCGGCTCCCGCGCCCGGTGCGGGCCTCGGGACCCAGCAGCCCCGGCCCCGCGTGGCAGGCGGCCCAAGGGGCGGGCCGGGGGCGGGCGCGAGCGCGGGCCCGGGGCGGGCTGGCGGCGGCCGGGCCAGGCGGCGGCGCTCTCCCGCGTCACAGCGCCGGGCGGCGGCGGGGAGATGCGGCTGCTGGCACTGGCGGCGGCCGCGCTGCTGGCGCGGGCTCCGGCTCCGGGTAAGCGCGGCGGGGCCAGGCGGGAGCGGGAAGGGTGGGGGCCGGGCGGCCGCGCCGGGGAGGCCGGGGCTCCGGGCCTGGTGGGGAGGCCCTGCCACCTCCGGGCGCGGGCGGGGGGCGGCGCTGTCACTGTCGCCAGCGCGCTCCGGTGGGCTCGCCGAGGGTCTGGCGGGCGCAGCGGCGCCTCCCCAAGGTTCAGAGGACGCCTCCCGTGAGCGCGGTCCCCGTCCCGACCTCGCCTGGGGCTGGGTACTCTCGCAGCAGCCGAGATCTTCCCAGCGGCAGGCCCCGAGGGGAGATGCAGCAGGAGCGCAGCCCAAGTTGGTGGTTCGCTTTCCTTTTTTCCACGGCAGTCAGGACACACAGCTCTTGGCAGATTCCTCGGAGCAGCAACTTCCCTTTCACTCTCTTCGGAGAGTTACTCCGAAGACAAGTCAGGAGCGGCTGGATCTGCCTTGGCCAGGAGGTGGGGAACGGGGACTTGATCGTGGGCCTTTTGAGGTGACCAGGCCTGGTGAGAGGGGCATCCACGGCTGGATGCAGCGACGCCTCTCCACCAGCACCCTGCTTTGAGGACAACTTCTTGGTCCACACTAATGGCTTTCATTCGGGTTTTACTGCTCCCACTTGTAAGTGTCTTAAGAATTTTCCCTCTTTATTCCCCAGAACTCTGTCTGGCTGCCTCAGGGCAGCAGGGGCCGTACTGGCTGGAATAATAGTAATAATACAGGTATCGATGGTCACTTTCCCTGGGTGCCTATCTGGGCCTATCTCATTTAATTACAACACTTCCAAGTAATAATGACTACAACACGTTTATATATCCAAGTATTAAAAAAAAAAAACATGAACTTGGTTAATCTCACCAATAACCTCTGAAGGAGGTGCTATTATTATCCCTATTTTATAGATGAGGAAACTGAGGCTCAGGCCCATGAACGGACTTGCCTTAATTCAGTAGGCTTGTAAGTGGTGGAGCTGGGATTTGAACCCAGTTAGCCTGGCTCTGGGCTCTGTCAATAACCACTAAACTGTGTTGCCATTGTTTTGAAAATTAGGAAACTGATGCTCAGAAGTCATTTTCCAAGAGTGATCTGGCTACCAAGTGTAGAGCTGGCATTTGAGCCAGCATTAATCCATAGATCCCAGTCTGAGGAGGAGGCACTTGGATAACAGTGGGAAGAAATCCATCTACTGTCCCCCAGCTATGAGTGCAGCCAGGTTCCCAGTGAACCTGAAATCCTTGCTGCGGGAAATGTACCTTTTCCCAGTTGTCACTGTCTCGGCTGGAAAAATGATGAGAAGTTTGCCTTGGACTGGTGGGCAGGGCCAGTTCTCGTGGTCTCTGTGGAGTAGCCAGCAGCCAGTGGTCCTTCCTCTCCCAGGCTCCATGACCACCTTCTAATTGCAGGAGCTGTCAGAGTGGGTGTCCCAGAGATTGTCTTTTGCTGGGGATCAAGGGCATTCTCACATTTCCAGAGCCCTCGGGAGCCTTGAGAGCTGGAATTCAGGAGCCTTTAGAGTCTGCCCTGGCTGTGCCCATGGTCAGCCCTGGAGGATGATAAGAGCTCCTGCTTGTGGGACACTCACTGTGTGCCACCCACTTTTCTAAGTGCCTCATTCATGACTCCTCACCACGATCCTGCTGGGAGGGGCTGGCAGACCCATTTTATACATAAGTACAGCTTCTTAACTGCTGTACTTTTCTGCCTCTCCATTTTGGGACTGACCAGGACCCTAGTGGTCACCTGGTCCCATGTCTCATTTTACAGGAAAGAAAACTGACAGACAATATATTTACGATAGCAAATCTGTAGGCTTGAGAGGTGGCTGAGCTGTCTTTGAAGCAAGATGGCCTAGGTTCGAATTCCAGCTCTGCCACTTACTATGTGAGCTTGAACAAGGGCTTAGCCTCTCTGTACCTCAGTCCTCTTGTCTATAAAATGGGAATAAACAGAGTATCAGGATAAATTGAGAAAATACATCTAAAGGGCATAGAGTTTGTACCCGGCAGGTATTAGCCTCTATCATTGGGCAAGGTGATATTTTTATCCTGGATGGAGCTATTTTCAGGTGATAGGCTAATGTGAGTGAATCAGTCCATGGGCTAGGTCTGGCATCACCTCTGCTTAGTGCTCAGTAAATACTGGCTCCTGGTGCCAAAGACTGTTAAGTAATATAACTATTTCTTTCAGAGATTTAGCTGTATGAATTCAGACTATTCTTTTAATAAGAAAGCTCACTGCTGCTGATCAGTACTGACAGTTTGCATTCCTTATAAACTTAGAGGCTCTGGTCTCCCTGAAGTGAGCAGGTGCAGTTTCTTCAGGCAGAGAGGAAGTGGGAGGCACACAGCTACGAGCACATCCCTGGCCTGCTCAGAACCGAGGGACTGTGCCCACCTCTGCATCCCAGATGAGGCTGCTGCCTTGTTCTGTTAGTTGTCCTTACTCCCTCACCTGGAAGTGGCCATCTCCCACTTCACAATGAGTAGGTTGTTCTATTCAGCTACAACGGTGTCCTAGGCTGTTTTCAGAGTGGTGTTAGTCCTTTTCATGACATTATTCAAATATAAGCAAGGGGGTTAGACACCTTAACTTTTATCCACAGGAATTTGAGATTCGTCTACAAACATAACCAGCTACATCGCTTGTGGGATCCAGTGTCAAATGAAAATGTGGGCCTCCTTGTTAAAATGTATTAAAATTTCAAGATAGCAACAGCAGAGATTAAACCATGTTGGGGTGTGAGGACTTCCAACCATGGGGTCCTGTGTGCCTGCAGGTCGTGGGCCCACGAAGCCCACTGTACTCACAGGACAGTGTGCATGTCACTTTCTATTGCTCCCACCTCCCCAGTCTCAGGGCATGCAAACTCTATCTGTATTTTAAGGGTGCTTTTGCATTGGAGCCTATGCTTACTGTGAAAGGCATCCTTTTCCCATTTTTCGGATGAGGAAACTGAAACTCCAGGAGGCTCACACCTAACAGAATCAGGTTTCCGGCCTGGTTCTGTCAGATGCCAGCCCCTGGCTCTCTACCCAGCCCCACCAAGCCACTGCTTCTGTGTCTCATCGTTTCTCTGCAACTACCAGAGAAGGCCTGGGACCATAAACATCCAGTGCTTAGCCCATGTGGTGCCCAGGACTACCAAGTCCCAGAGCATGTGCTTGTTGGAGACTGGGATTTGCTGCAGCAGGAATCCTGTCCCTCTGTTTGTATCAGTCTCTTCCCTATCAGTTTTGTTATATTCCTCCTTCAAAAAGTGGCCTTGGGGAACCTGACTGGGGTAGGGAATGCCTTCTGAGGATCATGTGTTGGCAAGGGTGGCTGTTGGGCCACAGTGGGGTACAGTTCACCAGGATGAACTGACCTTTCCATTTCCAGCCTGTACAGGGTCCCTCTTGCCTCACAACATTTGCAGAGGTGGGGCTCCCTCCTTGGAAATCATTCCTTGTTGCTGCCTTGAACTTTATTTCATTAGCTGCAAGTGAGTCTTTAGCTCAAGCTCACATCCCCAGAGTCCCTTCCCCTGACCCCGAAGTCTAGATCAGGATCTTGCCATGATTTTCTTAAACCCTGCACTTTTCTCTGTGGCATGTGACACTGTAGTTATATTCTCCCATGTCTTTTCCCCAATGAGTGGCTGCCTTACCCACTGGACTGTCCACTGCACAAGGTCAGGAATGTTGTTTTCTTCTTCACAACATGCCTGCTGCATGAGGCTTAAGCTGGAGGAAGCAGGAACTGTGAGTGGAGAGGTACAACGGGGAGGGGGACGATGCGTCTCCCTCCCACCTCAATTCTCCGCAACACAGGGTCACAAAACAAGAAATTAATTTCTTCTTCGGGCCTGAGTGACTTTGGCAATCCTTCCTAGGCCAGGAGAGGGAGGATCTGCCCTGCCTGGCTGCTCCATCATCTACCTGGTGGAGGAGGGGGCGAGTGACACCATCAGGTCCTGCCCCTCTGACAAGCTGGGCATGCATGGACTGTCATTCAGACTGAGATCCAGAGGGAAGAGCCTGGGCTCCCGGGGGCCCTGTACACTGTCTCCTGCCTCTGGACACTGCTGCACCTGCTTCCCCTCGTCCTGTCCTCTGATTGCCATTGGTGTTCCCTCTGCTGAGCCCTATGGTCCTGATGACTGCGGGGGAAGATAACGGACTACCTCTCTCTTAGTATTGAAATAAACACCCAACTGGCTCACATTTGCCAGCCCCTGGGTGCCCTAACTGCATTCCCTCTCCTCCCTCCTGCTTTGCCCCATCTCACAGTTGCCTGGATACATGTGCCACCTTTGCTGGGTTTAAGGCAGGGCTGGGGAAGAGAAGAATGTTACTCAAGGCACCCAGCTTTGCTGAGAAGGCTTGTCACAGGCACAGGGACCCCACAACCTGAATAGCTTGTGTCCTCCAGCAAAGCTTTCAGACTTGGCGGGGGCCTGTGGCCATCAGAGTTCTAACCACACCACCCACCTCCTGGTGCTGAAGGTGCAGGTAGAGGGCTGGAATGAAGCTTGCTGTGAACAGGGCTGGATTAGTGTGCTTACGCTGTCATAACAGAGTACCATAGGCTGGGGTACTTACACAACAGAAACATCACATTTTGGAGTCTGGAAATCCAATCAAGGTGCTGGCAGGGTTGGTTTCTCCTGAGGCCTCTCTCCTTGGCTTGGAGATGCCACCTTCTCCCTGTGTCTTCACAGGGTCTTCCCTCTGTGGTGTTTGTGTTCTTATCTCCTCTTCTTATAAAGACCATTGATACTAGATTAGGGCCCAGCTTAATGACTTTATTTTAATTTAATTACTCCTTTAAAGACCCTATCTGCAAATACAGTCCCATTCTTAGGTCCTGGGGCTAACGCTTCAACATATGAATTTTGGGAGGACACAATTCAACCCATAACAAAGGTCTTTGCACTTTGGTAGAAGAAACAGAAGTTTGTGCCATTTGTAAGAGAATATGGGGCAAAATGAAGGCAGGGAGGTGCGCCTATAAAAAGAGGGTTCATCCTGGAAGGCTAGAGAATAGTCCTTTCCCTTTCCTGGGATCCCCTGACCCTGTCCTGAGCCACAGAAGTGGAAGGGTTACTAGCTTGCCTCCAGGAAGAAATCTGGCCTCCCATGGGGACTGGAGCACTTGGCACATCCTTCTGGTTTCAGTCACTATAAATAATCCCTCTTCCATGTAGCATTAATAGGAGGAGCCTGGGGCGTGGGGTCCCGGCTGCACTCTCATCCCACCCATCTTGTTTCAATTTCCTGCCTTCCTCAGCTCTCCTGGCCTCCACTGGGAAGCTCTTGAGGGCGGGGTGGGGCTGGACTTCAGTTCTGGAAGCCAGCTGCTGCATCGTTGCTGCTCTCTGTGGCTGCCCAACCCCAGCAGCTGTTGGAGCTGGGTCAGCCAGTGTCCCCCAGCTGCTGCATTCCTCACCAGGGAGCTCCTGCCGTGGGAGCTGTGTGGACTTCACACAGGGCTTCAGCAGTGAGGAAGAAATGTCTTCTGACTAATTTAACATGGCCCATGGGCCAGGTGCCTGCCAGGTGGGCGAGATGCAGGGGGAATTGTGGGGCCAATTCCTCTTCATTTGCCTTGCAGGAGGGGCTTCTGATGACAGCGGGATTGCTACCAGAGTGGGTCCCTCCTTTGGCTACACATTAGTCTGCAGCCCTAAGTATCTCCCGCATCACTGTAGGCATAGAAGACCTCATACCCATCCAGCGGAGAGTCCAGCTGAGCCTTAACCCTTTTTCTTCTGAGCTCACTTCCATATATATCAAAGACTTTGGTGTTTTAATCCCTGGGGACCTGTGAATGGAACGTTATATGACAAAAGGGACTTTATGGGTGTGATGAAGTCAAGGCTCATGGAATTACCCTTGAATATCCTGTGGGCTAGTGCTTGTCTTCTGAGAGATGAGAAAGAAAATTAAGGAAAAATGATCCTGAAATCATCTGTCTTGAGGTGTTCAGTTATTAAATCAATAGTGGAAACTGTATAGGAGGAAGACCTGTTGCCTGGATTTTTACAATGAAGAATAGTTTGTATCTACCATCCCTCCCCCAGCCCACCGCAGGGCCGCCTGCTTGCTGCTCCACAGCCTCCTTGTCAAATGTTCAGATCTTGCTTGATCTGTTTTTCCACTTTCCTCCTTGCTTCCCTGCAGCACTGCCCAGGGGTCAAAGGTTTTGGTGGCTGTGACATCTGGGGCCCAAGCCCTCTTCTGTTACCAGATGGTGGCATTTTGGGACTGAAAGCTGTGCTTTGGGATGACCATGGGGACACCTGCTTGTGTGGGGGGGTGGAGGCGAATGGCTTCCTGGAGTGATACATGGGGCAGTACAGGGGTGGGGACATGGAACCTGGTGAGAAGACAGCCCTGACTTGGCAGAAAGAGGTTCCAGGCATCCTGTGCAAAGCATCTTTTCTCGGGCCCTGCCTGCCAGAGGGCTGTGCTGTGAGCACCGGGCAGCCTGGTCGCACTGGGCAGTCCAGGGTACACCATGAATCGTGGCTCCTGGGAGAAGACTTCAGCAGTCGGCCTCTCTGAGGTCTACTGGTCTGGGTGGTGGAGTGGGCGCTGGGGTGGCTCCATCACAGGTCAGCTCAGGGGCAGAACAGTGGCTGGGAGTGGGCAGCCCTCGGGCTGGTTTTAACTAAGGAACCAAAGGACAGGAAGTTGTGGATGGGGCCTGGAATTCCAAAGTGTCTTTTGGGTTGTTGGGAGAGTCTCTCATCCCTCCTCTTCCTGGGGTTTAATCATTCTTTATTCTTGCTCTTCAACTCTGAGACGATGGATCCTACAAATAGGAAACCAAGCAACCCCTGTTGTCCCAGCTCACATCCGACCTTACTACTCATCTGCCCTGGGTACAGTTGAAATAGCGGAGTCAGGGAAAGGGGCCCAGCTTCCTGGTGGACAGGCCACCAGAGAGAGGGCCCTACCCTGCCCTGCTCCAGGGCGGCTCCCCACCCACAGCACAGCTGACATCAGGCCAGGGACAAAACTGATAAAAGTAGGCCTTGGGGAGGGGCAGGGGCCAGGTGGTGAGGTGTGGGGAGTGGTGGGGGGTTGGATGTGGGCTAGACATTTTTAAGAAATTCCAAAAATCTAAATCTTTTACATGAAATTTGAATTTTAAACGTCAGCAACTAATTACAAAATTTTGAAAAATACTTCTGGGTCAGGAGGTCATTGTTTAGCATCCCACATGGACAGGGTGGTCCCATAGATGAGACAGTGGGGGCCCACAGAGGCTCACCCCCAGAAGAACCCCTCCTCTGGAGAGGTGAGGGGCCGCCTGCTTCTCTGGCCAGGCAGAGCACTAGGATGCCCAGTGCGTGGAGGCATTTCCTGGCTCCTCGACTGTGGACTGCCCACAGGGGGACTTGGGGCCCTCCTCATCCTCTCTTCTCCCCTTTTTCTCTGCAGAGGTCTGTGCGGCCCTCAATGTCACTGTGTCCCCGGGGCCCGTGGTTGACTACCTGGAGGGGGAGAATGCCACTCTCCTCTGCCACGTCTCCCAGAAAAGGCGGAAGGACAGCTTGCTGGCCGTGCGCTGGTTCTTTGCACACTCCTTCGACTCCCAGGAGGCCTTGATGGTGAAGATGACCAAGCTCCGGGTGGTGCAGTACTATGGGAATTTCAGCCGCAGCGCCAAACGGCGGAGGCTGCGCCTGCTGGAGGAGCAGCGGGGGGCGCTCTACAGGCTCTCCGTCTTGACACTGCAGCCCTCCGATCAAGGGCATTACGTCTGCAGAGTCCAGGAAATCAGCAGGCACAGGAACAAGTGGACGGCCTGGTCCAATGGCTCCTCAGCCACGGAAATGAGAGGTGAGGGTCTTGGTCTCCCTGGGTAGAGGTGGTGGTGGGGCAGGCCAGTAGGCCCCCCTTTGCAGCCACCACCCAGGGGCTCCCGGGTTGGCTGTGTTGCACTAGAACATATCTTGTGGGCCTCTGTTGGTCACAGACATGAGTCATGCCATGGGGTGAGGGTAGATCTTTACCTGGACACTGGCTAATGTGCTGTGTAGACACAGAAGTGAGAACAGAAAGGACCAAGTGCCTGCCCCAACATGGCCCAGCCCAATCTCTGGGCAAAGCCTCTTATGTGTCTGAAGTTGGACTGCTGTGTGCTGTCAAAGGTAAACAAAGCTGGACCCTGGTCAAAGGGGTCAGGGCAGATTTTATTCAGCAGTAGCTATTGCAGTAGAGAAGAGAGCCTGGCATGAACTGGACTCAACTCTGATTTGTGCAGACATGACTGGTTGTTTTAAAAGGAGAATGAGTGAGTGGGGGTGAGTGGGGACTCAGTAGAGTCAAAGAAGTGTGAAAATTGCAAAAAGCAGTAGGGAGAGGTTTGGCTTATGTGGAGCCATCTGGGTTTGCTAAGATGCTTATCGAAGTTTGAAGTTTGGTTTCTACCTTCCCACAGAGATGGGGAGATGGGGGTTTTGTCTTCAGGTGTTGGCTGGAACAAGCAGTAAATGCTTTTGGCAGCCTTGAGTTTTCTCAGGCAGGCACTTTCAGGAGGTCATCGTAGGCATAGGCATGTGGCCTTGAGCCATTAGAAACTATGTTAGTGTTTGTTGGAGTCTTTAGGCCAAGACTGAGGCTTAGTCGAGAAGGGGCTCTGAGGAGCCCGGCTGGAGTTTGGCTAAGGAGAGCATGTTTGTCAGTGCTCAGCCTCCCACCCAGGTCTGTGCAGGCTTGATGGCTTTGGCTGGGGGGTGCCGGGCACCCATGGAGGAGGCACGCGTTGGGAGGTTTTGCTGTGAGTCGTCAGGCCTGGGAGCAGGGCAGGCTGGTTGCCCAGTGGAACTGATCCAAACTTAGGCAACAGCTCGCCAAGAAATTCATGAGGAAGTGGGCAGAGGACCAGGGGTAGCCCTCCCTTCCTGAAGACAGATAGGAGGGATGGACAGCATTTCTGCAACATCTCAGCTACCAAGTGCCATATTTTGGGGTTGTCATTTTTTTATCACCAATGTTTCTATTCGGGAAGACACCTCTCACAATTTTAGTAAGACTTCCTATTATGCACTAAATTTTGCCTTTGATTGCTTTGAAATTGAATTTAGTTTGGCACAAGATCAAGAGGATCACAAAGTACAGCTGATAGTCTCAAATACAAAAAAGGGTCTAATTTTATTGTACACATATAACAAAATACTCAAGTCCTTAGTGATGTTGTTTTGACAAGCCTTTTTAAAGGACAAAACTTAGTTGTGAAAAGTATTTTTAATGTCCTATATGAATAAGGGACATAGAGTAAAATAATTTATATACAGAGTCTTTACAGTAGTTCAATTTTACTTGTCTTTGGAGTTTGCTTGTTGTAATGTTTATAAGTACAGAATGAGGTATTAAATAGAATGTGCAATTTTTCTCCTTAAGCAAATTAATTCAAGAAAACCAATGACTATTGGCTTATTATTTTCACATAGAAAACAAGACATCAGATCATCAAGGGCTGGGCCAAGAACCCACTGCAAATACCACTTGGCTGTGAAACACAAGATCTTTTATATATACAAGATATATACATACATATATATATACACACAAGATATATATATATATATACACACACACATATGATACGTGTGTATGTGTGAATTGTGTTGTTTTTGGTGTTTGTGTCACAGTGTATTCTGGAGTCACAGACGAAATATCTTGGCAGTGATGACATTCTGCCAAATAAAGCATATAAAAGCTTTGCTACCTTCAAGTAAGCAGAGTCATTTAGCTTGTTGGTTAACGTGAATCTCATTTCAGTGAGTGAAGCTGGGTTCAGTCTAGAACATTTGTTTGGGAACTTGCTCCAAAAACATGAGGTAGTTTTTAACACCTCACTGGAAATAAGAATCTTTCCCCACTTCTTCTCTTGCTCCCCCACTTTCCTGCCCTGGTCCTCTGGTTTCTCTTCCTTCCCCTCCTCAGCTCCCCTTCCCTTCACTCCCCGCCTCTTTTCTTCTTCGTCTTTCCTCTCTCTCTGTCTGTCACTCTTTCTCTCTCTGCCTCTCCCTCTTTCTCTCTCTTTCTGTCTCTCTCTCTCTCTGTCTCTTGGTATATCTCTCTCTGTCTCTCCCCCCCCCGTCTCTCTCTCTTTCTCTGTCTCTTCCTCCCTCTGTGTCTCTTCGTCTCTCTCTGTCTCTCTGTTTCTGGCTTTCTATCTCTTTCCCTCTCTGTCTCTCTCTCTCTCTCTCTCTCTGTCTCTCTGTCTCTCCCTCTCTCTCTCTGTCTCTTTCTCCTTCTGTCTCTCTCTTTGTCTTTTGGTCTCTCTCTGTCTCTCTCTGTCTTTCCATCTCTCTCTGTCTCTCTCTCCCTCTGTGTCTGTCTCTCTCTGTGTCTCTGTCTCTCCCTCTCTCTCTGTCTCCCTCTGTCTCTCTGGTCTCTCTCCCTCTGTATCTCTCTGTCTCTCTCTCTGTCTCTCTGTGTCTCTGTCTCCCTCTGTGTCTCTCTGTCTCTCTCCCTCTGTGTCTTTCTCTCACTGTTTCTCTGTCTTTCCTTCTCTCTCTCTCTGTGTCTCTCTCTCTCTTTGTATCTCTGTCTCTTTCTCTCTCCGTGTGTGTCTCTGTCCCTCTCTCTCTCTCTGTGTCTCTCTCCCTCTGTATCTCTCTATCTCTCTGTGTGTCTCTCTCTCTGTATCTCTCTATCTCTCTGTGTCTCTCCACTTCTCTCGCCCACTCCCCTCTGACCTCTCACCCAGAAGTGGTTCTACCCTCTCAGCGGAGCTCAGCCTCCCTTGCCATGTCTGCTCCATCTCAGCTCCTGGGCAGGGCCATGATTTGCTGATGGAAAGATTCAAAACCTTAGGAAGCAATGACCATATCTTCTAGAACATTCTATTTAGGCTTCCAGGGGACTGTTCCAAGGCAGTTAAGGAAAAGCAACCCCAAGCAAATGGCCTGAAACCAGGCAGGCTGTTTGGGTTGGAGCTTGTCCGCCCCAGGCTGGGGCTGTGCAGAGCCTTGGCTGCCTGTTCTTCCTGGGCAGGGCCAGGAGAGGCGCATGGCTGCAGCCTCCCAGAGCACCTTTCCCGGTGTCCTGGGCCTTGCTCCTCTCCAACGGCCTTATTTTCCTAAATTTCCACCTCATGTTCATAGTTGTTGTTGTTGTTTTTGAGACAGAGTCTCCTTGCTCTGTCTCCCAGGCTGGAGTGCAGTGGTGTGATCTTGGCTCACTGCAGCCTTTGCCTCCTGGGTTCAAGCAATTCTCCTGTCTCAGTCTCCTGAGTAGCTGGGATTACAGCTATGCGCCACCACACCCAGCTCATTTTTGTATTTTTAGTAGAGGTAGGGTTTCTCCATGTTGGCCAGGCTGGTCTTGAACTTGTGACCTCAGGTGATCCACCCACCTCGGCCTCCCAAAGTGCTGAGATTACAGGTGTGAGCCACCTTAAATGGAAAACAAAAACACAGAACAACAAGGATGAGAAGTTCTGTGGTCCGTACCTTTGGGTTAGAATATCAAACAGGAGCTCTTGGGGGTTTGAGTGCCCCCCACCCCAGGCCCGTGGTCTCTCTTGTCTAACCTGCTCATGTCACCTCCCTCCTTTCAACAGGAGTCTCCAGCCATCCAGTGGAGAGGGGAGCTTTTCTTGGGATTTCCCTTGTAATACTACCTCACTCTTTGCCCTTCACCGCAGACTTAACCATGGCCTCCTTCCTGCAGAGTTCTTGATGTGAGATAAAATTGCTTGTCTTTCACTGGAAACTCCCAGAAAGAAAGGCTGGTGCCTGGTCTCTCCTCATTTCCCTGTCATGAACACCTCGCCCAGCACATGGAGGGTGACTTGCGATGATATATTTAAAAAATAACTCCCAGTTCTGAGAAGAGCCATAGGAGTGTTGGCTCTTATTATCTGTCCTGATTTCCATATGTTGGTTGTTTTCTATTGCAAAAGTAATATAGTGTAATATAGTTCAATTATAGAAAACATGGAAAAATACTGAAAGGGTTTAAAGAAGAAAATAAAAATGACTTACCATATCTCTACTCAACTTAACATTTCAGTGCAAATCCTTCCTGTCATTTTATGCAAATTAAAATTTAAAACCTAATTTCAATCTTACTGTAAAGAGTGTTCTGTGACTCGCTTTTCTGATATTACTAAATAGTGTGCACATTTTCCCTTGTTAAATATGCCTCAAAAACATAATGTTAATGATGGAATAATGTTCCATCATGCAGGTGGACCTCAATTTAGCTTCCTGCTTATTGTTACTGGACATTTGAAGCTGCTGTAAATCTTTGTCAATAAATCTCCATGAATATCCCTGACCTTAGCATAAAATCCTGGAAATAAGATTGCCGGGTCCAAAGATCTACCCAAATTAAAAATGGACACAATTTCAAGAAGTGAATTGACCTCTAAAATAGTTTACAAATTTATATTACCACCAGCATTGAAAATGCCTTTTCCCCACGGATTGGTCTACATAAGAGTGTTGGTTAATTTTATGTGTTGACTTGACTAGGCTAAACGATGCCCAGATAGCAGGTAAAACATTATTTCTGGGTGTGTTCGTTCTGTTTCTCTGGGATCCCAGACTAACACAATCATATACTTTTTGAGGATGATGATGATAACAATGAATGCCTGCAACAGTGCCTGGTACACAGTTGATCCTCAATAGATACTTGATGAATGAATAAAATGTTCTTTGTCAAGTGTCATTAGCAACTGTTGCTGTGGATGACTTTGAAGTAGGCGTGACTTGGTGGATGTAGTCACCCTCTCTGGGATGCCTTACCTCTCTTTCCCTTGACCTATTTCAATCATACATATTTTTTGGGGCTCCACATCCAGCTTTCATCTTCCATCAATGCCTTCTTTGGGCATGCCAGCCCATGGAGTGCTCTCCCACTGGCAACATCTTGTAGCTTCTGTTTTTAGCACTGTAGACACAACATTATGTGGTCATGCCGTTGTTTTTCAAGCTGCTGTGGCACAGTGATGATGTCAAAAATATTATACATAAAAGAGTTGGCCAGGCATGGTGGCTTACGCCTGTAATCCCAGCACTTTGGGAGGCCGAGGTGGGTGGATCACGAAGTCAAGAGTTCAAGACCAGCCTGGCCAACATGGTGAAACCCCATCTCTACAAAAATACAAAAATTAGCCAGGTGTGGTGGTGTGCACCTGTAATCCCAGCTACTCGGGAGGCTGAGATGAAGAATTGCTTAAACCCAGGAGGCAAAGGCTGCAGTGAGCCAAGATCCCGCCACTGCACTCCAGCACTCCGCTCTCAAAAAAAAAAACAAAAAACAAAAAAGAGTCAAACAATGCAAAAACTAAAATGCGCAAATATCTTTCTCCTACCCACTACCTAATATCCCCAGTTCCACTCCCATCCCCAGAGATAATCATTGTCAATAATTTGGTTTAGATCTTTCAAATCTCTTTCCTATTGACATTCATACACACACACAAACACACACACACACACGCAGACACACATGTATTTTAACAATAGTGCATGTATTGCTTTATAAGTTGTTGGTGATATTACATGTATTCTTTTGTAACTGGTATTATATAGTGAGATAATACCAAACTGTATCCAATCATTCCCGCAGTGATAGACACTTAGGAATCTTCCAGTGTTTCACCAACATAAACAGTGCTTCAGTGAAATCCTTGTACATCTTTCCAAGTGTATCTGTTAGTTAGATTCCTGGAAAGGGAATTGCTGGGCCTAAGGCTAAGCATATTTAAAATTTTTGTAGACAATGCCAAAATGCTATCACTGAAAAGACTTTACAAATTTATACTCTGACCATCATTGCATGATATTTCCCTGAAGCCTCTTTAACAATCAATATTATTAATCTTTTCCATTATTTATCACAATTGGAAAAATATTTCATTGTTTTAATTTCGATTATTATATTCAATACAATACAGTGCAATTTAATTTCTGTTTTTGTATTCAATTATTAGCAAGGTTGAACATTGTTATTCATGGTTCATTTATTTATTCTGTGAATTTCCTGGCCATAACCTTAATAAATGGGTTGCTGTCTTTTTTATATATGTGTACGTGTGTGTGTAGATCTGATCATTAATTTTTTAGCTATTACATATGGTACAAAATTTTATTCCTGTTTGTTACTTTTCTTTCCACGTTGTTTATATTTTCTTTTACCGTATAGATATTTCACATTTCTGGATATTTATGTAGTCAAATTTGATATTTTTTCCTTTGTGGCATTCTTTTCTAGTGGAATTTTTTATTGAAATGTAATTTACATTCAATACATTGTACATGGTACCTTGGTTTTGTATCGAATCTTGGAAAGGATTCCCTGCCCCAAGCTTATAAAAGTGTTTTCCATATTTTTCTTTAATATTTTTAGATGATTAAAAGAAAGCTTTACTCCTTTATCTCTTTGGAATCTGTTTTTTTATATAAGGTATATAGTAGCTAATTTATTTTTTCTTTACAAAAGGCTAAAATGTTATCCCTACACTGTCTGTTGAAGAGGTATTTTTCTAGCTTGACATGTCACATTTTTCATAAGCTAAATCCCTATATTTAAATGAAAACTTTGTACACTTCACCAATATAGCACTATTCTAATTATTATAGAATAGGGCAAATATCCTCATTATTTTTTAAATTCTTAGCTATTCTTATACATTTAGTTTTTCTTTAAGATGCTCTTGAGGATCCACTTACCCAGTTTTGTAAAAATTACATTGGGGTTTGATTGGGATTTCATTGGCTTCTTAGGTTACTTTGTTATGGGCATATTCATCTTAGACATCTTTATGATTTTAAATGTTCCTATCCAGGAACTTGTTGTATTCCTTCATGTAGTCAGGGTTTTTTTTTTAAATGTCTTTCAGTACAATTTTTTTTCACATGACTCTCGAACATTTTTATTATATTTACTTCTAGGTATTTTATAATTGTAATTAGGATATACCATCTCCTGCTATGCAGACACATGTATGTGAAGATTTTAAATCGGTATTGCTGGTATATAGAAAGTTTGACTTTTGTTGAGTTATATTTGGCAACATAATGAGTTAACTTATTATTTCAGATGTGGTGTTTCTCAGTTGCATTTCAATAGTATCTATGAATTAGTATCTCATTATTTTTCTAACCATATTGCATTGGCCAGTACTACCTGTACCCTTTCTGTATGACACTACTGTGAGTTTTAACCTACTATTTCAGTTTTTATCTTGACCACATCTTCCATCTAGCCCATACAGCTACCCTTAGAGACTGTCAGTTATCTTATTAAAAGCCAGCTTTGAGGCAACCGTGGCTTTTTCATGATCCTTACTGGTTAACCTATCAAAAAAACAACTGGGATTGCCCTGATAATATCTCTTAGGCATCTTTCCTTTTCTTTTTCCTTTTCCTTCCTTTTTCTTTTTCTTTTTCCTTTTTCACGGAGTCTGGCTCTGTCTCCCAGACTGGAGTGCAGTGGCATGATCTTGGCTCACTGCAACTGCCTCCTCCTGGGTTCAAGCGATTCTCCTGCCTCAGCCTCTCAAGTAGCTGCGATTACAGGCACCAGCCACCACCCAGCTAATTTTTGTATTTTTAGTAGAGACAGGGTTTTGCTCTGTCTCTAGCACATGAAGAATGAAAGGGACAGAATCTCTGGAGAACAGTGGAGCCATGCCTGGCTTATTCACAGAATCTCATGCCAGATGAACTTGTTGATGTCGTTTTTATTACCCAATGGTAAAAGGAAAGGCAAAGAAAAAGACGCAGTTTCTCCAATTGCCTGTGCCATGTGATGATTTCACTGGGTGAGAAATCCTGCTTAGAGAGAAAATGGATTGAAAAGTCCTAAGTGACACATGGCATCGGAAACCCCTGGAGAGGTTTCTAGTGGAAATCATGAGGGTCAATGTTAGGTTTGATTTCCTTTGATTGTTTTATCAATAACATTGAAAAAGAAGCCCACATCACCCTAATGAACTTTCTAGAAAATGCAAAATTGGGAAATGTTCTTAACATCAGTGAGAAATCACACATGATAAAAATGATTCCAGAGCGGTAAGAAATATAGGCAGGAAATAACAAAATGAAATTCAATTTGAAAAACAGCACAGCAATACATGTGGGGAAAACAAATCTTAAGCATTGCTGGATGCTGCTGGGAGGCTCTCTCTGCGAAAGGATTCGGAGTGATAATAGCAGCGAATCAGCCGTGCATTTGCAACGTGAGACTGCATCTCAACAGCTGGTGTTGTTTCCATCCACATACAAATCGACCTGGAGCCCCTGAGAAGGAGGTGATTGTGTCGTAGGTACTACACTGGTGAGACCCTAACTGGGACTACACAGTCAGCTTTGGGAACTTCATTTCCAGACAGACAGATTTAAGCTAGAGAAGAGAGGCAAATGTGATGAGGAAATGAGCAACCGCCTTCAGAGACAGGATCCATTCTATTGAGGAAGGTTTGCTCGGCTCAGTGAAGAAATAGCACCAGAAAATAGTATTGATGATGTCCATCAGCGCTAGGTAAATTCATTTATCCCTTCACTCAGTGTGCATGTTATCAAACACCTACTGCGTGCCAGGCTGTTGCAATAATGGAGACCCAGAAACACATGGGTGGATCTGCCTATGGGGTGGCAGACACACAAACACATGGGGTTTTGCAGTGTGAGTGCAGGGGACAGGATGCACACAGGGCACTGTGGGAACACACCGCAGGGTCCCTTAAGAGCTGAGGGAGAGGGCAATGTTGGAGATGTCCTTGGTGGTTTATGTGGGGGCGGCATGGATGTCCAGAGGGACAGGCACTGCAGCTCATGCCAGGGCTTTGGGGACTCTGCATTAGGCCTGGAAGCTTACAAAGCATTCTAAGCCTTTTGAATGTTGGCTCCCTGGAGCATGGATCTGGGGGGAATCAGATTAGAGGAGGAGGAAGTGGGGTCTTTTGTAGTTGCACGAGCTTGAAATGATGGAGGACTAACTTTGGCAGTAGGAATGGGGAGACATTAAGAGGTCAGATGTGAAGTCTTTACTGATGGACTGGATGTGAATGATGGAGAGAGCTTTGGGATGACACCCAGGGGTCTAACTCTGTAAATATGTGTAGCAGCTTTTCACTCATTCATCACGAGCAGGCCAGATGCAGGTGTAGCCTCACTGCAGGTGAGACGTGATGAAGTGGAGTGCACAATAATGCCCTGCCCAGCCCCAAGGCTGGTGAGGAAGGCTGAGGCCTGAGGGCTGTGTGCCCAGCACTGTGGGGGCATAGCAAGGCTGAAGGGGGTGGCACAAGGAAAACGGGATGAGAATTGAGGGAGCATAAGCAGGGGGGTTGGGATGATTTCAACAGGGAGGTGCACTGCTCAGCCATGTCTCCCTCTCTCCAAGGGGTGGCTTATTTACATTGAGAGTGTCCAGGGCATACTGAATTGGAACTTGTTTCATACCTGGCAGGCATCATAGCCTAGTGTTGGGATTCCCAAATACTCTTGGTTCTTGATGCCCTTAGGCCAGAGAAAAAAACAAAAACAAGAACACACGCAAACAAACAAAGAGCAGTTAATAGTTTTGCTGAAGTAGTTGAGTCACAATTTTAGGTAAGTATTGAGATGCAGACAACTTGTTCTTGTCCTCTTCAGGGTAAACTCCAAGGTCACCTTTGAAATGAGATGACAATTTCATATTTTAGGGGGCCAAAATGTCTCATGTAAGTGAAAAATAATATATAGCTAGTTATGGTAAATATCTTTTCAAATAATGATACTTCCTGAAGAAAAGCACTTTGCTTTGCCCTGTGTTGCACAGACTGTGTCCACCCATGTCTGTCCTGCATGCTCAGTGCTGCTGGGCCATGTGCTGAGCCTCAGACCTGCCCTTGATAACTTCAGTTGCTGTCTTCCTGTTTCTCTCATGTCTAGGGCCTGATTGCCCCTCTACGCACCCTTGACCCTTTGTCCCCAAGTCTAAGACATTGTGGTTTGTGTTCTGTCCTTTTTTTTTACCTTCCTTTGCTCCCTCAGCTTTGGGAATCTCTCCACCTTTGTGCCTCCTCCATTGTGCTTGACATCCCATCACCTCTAGACTTTTCTCCCTAGGGGACGGATCTGGCTTGGTGCCTCTGGAAGCACAGATTCTGTAGACTTGCTCAGCAGGAGGAGGCCCCCGGTGGGCATGGGGCAGGGCGAACCCTTAAGCTTGCTTGCTTCTTCAGGTGCTGCCTGGAGAGATTCCAAGATGAAGCATAAGTGTCCAAGGGGCTCCTGGTGAAAGATGGGCCCCAGCTGTAGCCCTGAGTGCCACGTGTCCTAAGGTTCCCGTGGAAAGCGTTGAGACAGGTTTGCAGGGCCATAGCCTGAGTGCACTTCCTGGGCCTTCACCCCAGGGAGCGTGTGCTGCTGGTGTTCACAGGAGTGATGTAGTCATTAGCCTCCCTAAGAGGCTCCTGCTCTTAGGGAGGCCACAGCTTTGATCCCCAAGACTTCAAAAAACATGATCTTTGTCTGGGCACGGTGGCTCATGCCTGTAATCCTAGAACTTTGGGAGGTTGAGGTGGGTGGATCACGAGGTCAGGAGTTCAAGACCAGCCTGGCTAACATGGTGAAACCCCGTGTCTACTAAAAATATAAAAATTAGCCGGGCATGGTGGCGGGAGACTGTAATCCCAGCTACTCGGCAGGCTGAGGCAGGAGAATCACTTGGACCTGGGAGGCAGAAGTTGCAGTGAGCCGAGATCGTGTCATTGTACTCCAGCCTGGGCAACAAGAGCAAAACTCCGTCTCAAAACACACACACACACACACACACACACACACACACACACACACACACGGTCTTCAATGGCTTTTCAACCCAATCCTACAACCCACAGATTCAGAAGCAGTCTAACCTTCTGAGCCAAAATAAATCTTCCTGCTTTTAGATGGAGTGGTCTTTATCAGCAGTGAAAATGCTAATAATAGAAGCAATTTGCAAGGGATGTCTCCTGCAGTTTAATCGTAATTCACTCTAAACCCACATAGTGTATTTTAACAAGCCAAATTGTTATTTGACTTAACATTATGTAAGTAAGGTTTAATGTGGAGACTGGACAAAGCAAATGGAAAAAACTGTTTGTCACCCTAAAAGTATGTGGGGGCAAAGATGAAATTATAATATGGTTTCTCATCTGACTGTTTAACCCCAAAGTGTGAGAGGAAATTTAATGATTAGATCTGAAGTTACTACCACAGGGAACTGATACTGCAAGTTTTAGTGGAAGAAATTAACGAAATAATTCCTTTTTCTCGGGAGACATGGAACAGATAATGAGGAATGAGATTTACTAAACATTTAGGGCTTCTGCTTAATTAAGCAAACACACATCATGGTGTTTAAAGTGTCAACAGGTCCAGACACTCAAAGGAATCAAATTGACAACCAGAGTGTAATTTAAACACCACTTTAAACAATTCTTCATCGTACCTACCCTCATTCCAACTGCCATGGTCTTGGAAGAGTTTAGATTAAAAACTTAATCTCACAAACATGCATGAAGCCCCAGTTTATGAGCCTGTCATCACTGTGCCTTTCCCAAAGAGAGGTACAGATGGAGATGTTTGATGCCTGCCCTCCTGGGGCCCCAGCCTCATAACATAGGGGAGAAGCCATGGTGTAGATGTGGTTATAGATTTAATAGACGTTATGGAGGTAGCAAACAGAAAGAGTGTGAAAGGGCCAGACGAGGGGGTGAGGCTGACATGGGAGTAAGGGAGATGAGGACACATTGCTGGACCATGGGAGAAGGTCACATGGAGGATGTGGGACTTCGCTTGGGGCACAGGAGAGCTTCAGCAGACAGCCCTGGGCTGTGCTGTTTCAGTAGAGACGACAGCCTGCTCAAAAGTGTTGCAAGAGGCCAGAGAGGCATGCAAAAGTAACTCAATGGACTTAGATGCATGTTTGCAATTGTTGGGGGACAGGGGTGGGCAGCAACAAGAGGAATGGTTGGAAAGATGGACCCAGCTGGGGACCTTGGTACCAAGGACCCTGCCGGGGCCTTCCGAAATGCACCCTCACATGTTATGTGGTGCATGTACACAGAAGGGGCCCAATGATGACTTTTTAGATGGAGGAGTGAATGAGTGATCCAAGCTCTTTTTCTCTGGAGACATGGCAGAGAAAATGGCAACTAGGAGTGGAAGGTAGTAGCAAGTGGATATATAGCCCTATCCTGGACTTGTGTGTGTAAAGGACCAGTGACCAAGCCCTAGGTTTCAGTATTTCCTAGCTTCTCATTGGGGACATAAAGATAGCCTTTGTGCTCTGTAGCTCCTTCACTTTCAGAATGTGGACTTCTTTTCCGACCGCCTTGCCATGGGAAGTCTATTTCATTTTTTTTGTTTGCCCTTTTGCTTGGTTTGCTGGAATTTGTCTTGGACTGAATGCGGTAGGAAAGGGCGGCATAAGCTAGACAAAGCTGGAGTTTCATTGTTTCTCATCGGCTGCTGCCTGCAGGTCACTCAGAGGTCCTACTGACATATATGGCTTTATTTGAGCCCCAGGGGAGACTGCCTTTGACCTAAGTCTTGGAGAGGCAAGGGAGAAAGGAAGCAATAGGCCAGTGCCTGAGAGCAGAAACAGAGAAGGTCTCTGTGTCTCCCTGGGGCTGCAGTGGCACGCCCCCCACCCCCTGCCACTGAGAATGTTGATCCAGTTATAAACAGCAAGGACACAGCTACATTTTAAGAGCTGTTTCCTTGGGAACCATCTCATCCATTGTTGAATAAGAAGGGAGAGTGAACTGAATACATTGAATTTGAATTTGGGACAAAGGTGTTGGCTCATCTTTGTTTTACTTAAGGATCTTTTCTTCTGCATACTTCACATCACCATCCTCTTCCAGCCCCTTTACATTTTCCTCTCCTATTAAAACCTGTGTAAGATGCTGCCTGAGGGACCTGGAGCAGGGTGGTACTTGCTCTCTCCTGGTGCAAATTAGCAAGGCCTACTTGCCAGGGATCAGGCTCCTTAACTTCTTCCGCTTCCTTTCAGCTTGAGGGAACTTAAGAATCATCTTCTGTTTAAGAAGAATCACCTTCTGGTTAGGAATCATCTTTGGACTTTCTGCTTCCATTCTGTAGGAAACTAAACTCCCAGAGGCCATAAAATAAATCATGACAGACACAAAGCCTGCAACTCCAAGGCCAGAATTTTGTGGAGAAGTTAGCCTCTGCAGCCAGGTGTGCTGGCGCAACCCCACTGCTTCTGAGGCTCCAGGGGAAGGACTGTTGCTGGGCAGGGTGGGACCCCCTGACCCTGGCCCCTCTCCTAGCTTTCCGGAAAGTAACAATGTCATAGTCCTGGTAAGGTGTACTTACCCCACTGTATCACGTTCATTTCATTCATTCATTAAGAGTAACTATGACGGCCGGGCACCGTGGCTAACGCCTGTAATCCCAGCACTTTGGGAGGCCGAGGTGGGTGGATCGCGAGGTCAGGAGATCAAGACTATCCTGGCTAACATGGTGAAACCCCATCTCTACTAAAAATACAAAAAATTAGCTGGGCGTTATGGCAGGCACCTGTGGTCCCAGCTACTTGGGAGGCTGAGGCAGGAGGACGGCGTGAACCCGGGAAGAGGAGCTTGCAGCGAACCTAGATCTTGCCACTGCACTCCAGCCTGGGCGACGAAGCAAGACTCCATCTCAAAAAAAAAAAAAAAAAAAAAAAGAGTAACTATGACTTGAACTATGGGCCAAGAAGGATTCTAGAAAGTGAAGAAAACAGACACAGATAATGAACAAGGTAGAATAAGGCATGGTCTGGTGCACAGTGATGGATTTTAAAGCCACACATTCCATAGAGAGAGGAAGGGTGTGAAACATTAGATCACCACTGGAGGAAGGCTTCAATTCAAATTGTCTCCAGTTTCCAAGACAGGCAGTTGACTCCTTGGGAAGACACGTCCATCCTTACACATGTTCTGCTCTTTTAAAAATCATTGTTTCTTGAAAGCTGTGTTCTGCACATCATTTTCTACATTGAGACATGCTATTAAAAGGTGCTCTTTCAGGGTCCTTTTGAAACGGGAAAAGTTCCCTTGTCCCCCTACCAGTGCATGCGATAGGGGTGTGGCTGGCTTCTTTGGTGCCCTGCTGCTCAAACCTTTAGGGAAGCATACAGATGGGCAGGAGCTGTGGGGCTCCGACCCCACGGCAGTGTCCAGGGGTGAATGTTTATAACTCCTGAAGCCCCAGTGGGCATGTGTTATGGGGTGCTCTCTTATTTTGCCGACTATAGGCTGCCTGTAGCTCAATTAAGACCCTCCACCTAGTCTCAAGGACAGAGGGCTTTCTGTATCCCGGGTTCGTGCCTTGGTGTACTGGAAGAATCAGATCACATGTGCGCTTGGAGAATATCTTATTCTCCAAGTTTTATTGAGTACAAGTAGCTCCCAGTCAATGGGGGAGGTAGAAGGGAGACGGTTTTCCCCTGGAGTTGGGCTGCTCTGTGGCCCCAGCTCTCTTCTGACTGCCTCGGCCAAACTCTGCCTGGTGCCTGGTCCCACTGGTCGATGTCCTGCCTACATACCAGTGCCTGTCTGTGTGCTCTTCTGCTGGCATAATCTGCTCCATGTTCTCTGGACTACCAAGCCGCTTGCGTCTTCTTCCGGTGACGTGCTCCTCTCGATGTCTGACTGCGTCTGTCTCTGCCTTGCTAGGTTCTCAACTTTTTATAGGCCCAGGATGGGGGCGTGGCAGGCCAGAGTGGTCTTGGGAAATGCAATATTTGGGCAGGAAATGCCTGTCCTCACCTAGGTCCGTGGAGGTGGAGCCCTAGCCAGGGACCACGCCCTCCTCTACCCAGCACGCCCCTTCCCCTTTCCATATTGTTCAAAGGGACCATACTCTTCTCTTCCCAGCACTCCCGTATCACTTTGTAGATAACACTTCTGTGGCAGGATCACTCCTTATCCTTATTACTCTTGTTTTCCCTAGATTAAATAGAAGAGGCATTGGTTTAGTTTTGAGTTCTAAACCCTCTCCTGGATTGGACAGGACACTGAGGCCCAGGGCCTGGTTTCTCACAGCAGGACTCTCCTCTCCCACATCTCCTTGTACTCAGTCTTTCTTCTAGGAGTGCACATGACAGAGACTCTCCAAGTAGGGTCCTCGGGCCTGGAGCCTCAGAATTTCCTGAGAGGTGAACTCCCTCTTCAGGCAGAGTCCCAAACCCTCTCAGAAACTCAGGGGCAATGCCTGGGAGTCTTCGTTTTAATAAGAGCCCAGTTGATTCTTCTGCACAGTAAAGTTTAAAAATATGGCTTTAGAGCACTAAGGAAGGCAGCACCTGCTAAGGACAAGATCTGTAGAGTCTGGGAGAAGGCTTCAGCTACCCTGGCCAGGGTAGGCACGGAAAGGGAAGGCATGTCTCCTGAGCCCAGCTGCCTGCCTTCCCTGCATCCTGGCTCCTGCTCCCTCCTGCCTCGTTCTTCCTCTTGGCCCGCCAGGGCCCCACCACTTTCCTCTCCATCGAATCCTGCGTTCTGGAAGGCTTTCCGTGTCAGAAATGTGCACCTGACTTTGGATATAGCCTAGAGTTGCAATTTAAGCTTTGTTAATTGTAAGATTCTTTGTTAAAGGAATTAGGGGCGCCAGTGGGAGAGAATTTCAGGAAAAATGGAGCCTTCCCAGGACCTCTCGGAATTTTTGGCCATCACTTCCGTGGGTGAGTAAGGTCAGTCTAGACAAAGCATGTCAGCGTCCTTGGTGAATGGGGGACCCCGAAAGAACCAGAGGCCCCTTGGCACCCAGAGGGCATTGTCACAGGGTCTTGGTGTGAACTCACCTGTGAAACATGCCCTCCCCAGGGAAGTTGGCAGGGTGTTCTTTCCAAGGCAGGAATTAGGGCTCTCGGTTTTCACACCTCTCTGAGTGATGGTTTCCCCCCAGGTCCCATCAAAGGGGACTTGACTGAGGCTCTTTCTTTCCAGCCTGCTTCCTCTAGACATGCAGTTGATAGAATCGGTTTGTCTCAGTACCTCTGGGCTGCATTCTTCCTGACTGTTTGATCCTGTGGCCACTTTCTTCAACAGAGGGGCAGTGACGTGATGGATTTCACAACTTGTCCCTTATTAGATTTCATCCTATTCTGTGCTCCTGGGGAGGCCCCAGAGTGGCCTGTAGCTCTGTCATCTGGGCCACTGCCTCCCCGGAAACTCTCATGGGCTCTGCCCATTGGGTGCTAGGGTCCCAAGGCAATGACAAAGCAGTCAGTAGGTCAGCTGACAATTTAGCTTCTGAGCACTCATCACCCCTCCCTCCACTGTGAGACCTGACCCATCAGATATAAAAACCCACTTTAGTTCCGATAACAGCTGTACTGAGATAGGTGGCTTGGCACTGAGATCAAATTGGGCTTCCTTCTACTTCCCTGAACAGTTGTCCTGCCTGTTCGCCTTTCCCCACCCCCCACCCCAGCATGGGGACTACATGCCTGTGCACTGTGGGAGCAGGAGGTCAGGGTCCTTGCACTGCCCTTGTCATGGTCTCCCTGGACACAGGACGGATGGTAGAGGAGTGTGTGCAGGAGTGGTCACAGGTGGGGCTCCGTGAGAGGCAGGGCTGGTGTCACTCCCAGCAGCTGGGGTGATGAGACTGTCCCAAGGGGCCCCACAGCATTTGCCCCCATGCCAGCTATTTGCTGGGAGACCAGTCTCAGAGCACAGGGCAGGACAGAGTCTACTTGGAAAAAGTTCTTTACCACATTCCTATCACCCAGAGGGGGGCTGTGGTCAGAAGCTCACCTGGATCAGGAGCTTTTCCTTGTCCACCAGGGGTGAGGGAGGTGGTGAATGCAGATGAGAGGGCAGAGAGGGGCAGCATCATTCCAGTCCTGCACCTTCCTGGGAAGGGATGGAAGTCTCATTTCTCCTCCCTATCATGAAAACCTGAGCACAGAGCAGCAGAGTCCACCATCAGGACCCTATAGGACCATTGTCTGGCTCACCAGCTGACTGTCATGCACTTGCTTTCCTCTTTGGGGGATTGGGCTGGGCACTCCTTTAATCATGAGCAGCTGTCAGGAGGGCAGGACCTCCATTCCTTTGAGCTGGTGCATAGGAAGAGTCAGCAAATTGGTACAAGAGGCTGTTGTCATCTTCTTTCCAATTGTCTGGAAGTCCAGCTGGATCCCAAGGTGAGCCCAGTACGGCAGAATGGGATAGATTGATTGACTCTTGCTTAAGGCTCCAGCCTTCTGATTGCTGAACTCATTGGAAACTGTTACAAAAATGCTCTTCCATCAGGAGATTTGCATTTTATTTCCACAAGTCTTTGAGCAACATTAGTAATCTGTGGTTGGAACATTTGCCACTTGTTCCTTAGTCTTGCCAAATTTTTTCTCAAAGCATTCCATCCTCTTCAAGCCCATCTACCCTGCTGGGGCCTCTTCCACTCCACACTTGAAGGTTGACCAAGGTGAATTTATATTAGCTGCTCACAGCTGTGCTGAGGAGGGCAGAGTATTTGTGGAGTCAGGAGACCTGCTGATTGTCCACTACACAGCCCTTGCTGTTGGCCTGGCTGCATCCCACAGCTCTGTTTCCTCATAGTCTGTGGACTCAGACCCCTGGCTTGACAATATATCAAATTCACTTTGAGATAGCACAGGATTAGCAGCTGCAACAAGATACTTATGGGAGAACCTTGGGAAAATTCCCGAAGATCTGGCAGGGTCCATGTAAAAATTTTTCTTTCTTGTAGGAACAAGTAAGATTAGGACTGGTGTTTCTAATAATCAGATGCCAAAGTTGCTGCACCGTCCTGTGAAATATCTGCACTGCGGGGGAGTGAGGAGCATCCAGTGATTCCTTGCATAGGGTTAGTTTAGAATCCCAGTTTGTTAGCTCTTTCAACACATGTGTCCATAAATAGATTAGGGAGAGCTTGTTGCTTTCTATCCTAAATAAGGGAAAGGGAACTGTAATTGGATTAAATCAAGGACCCACAATTTCTGACCCTGAAAGTTGCATAAAAAATGACCCGAAGGCACCTGTTGGTTAGAATGGCAGCAGCTCATTCAAGGTGTAGAGATTGAAGAGTCACCCCCTGAGGCAAAGGACTGACAACAAAGGGCCATTCTGAGGTTGGCGGGGGTGGAGGTTAGAGCAGTGAATAAAACAAGTGAAAGTCCCTGTACTTAGACAGCTAGTGTGGATATGGGCTCAGTAGGTCTCAGGCACTGTTCTGAGCACTTCACACACATGAACCCCTTTAACCCCTGCATCTACTCTGACATGGGCATTTCTCATCATCCCCATTTTACAAATGGGTAAAATAAGGCACAGGAAAATTAAGTGACTTATCCAAGGACATAAAACTAGCAAGTGGCAATTGAGTCTTTCAACCCTGTGAGCATGTGTTTGCCAAATTTTAAAAGGCATACATTTCACCCAGGGGATTTGGGCTTGAAAGCAGATTCTGATTCAGTAGATCCGGCATGGGGCCTGCCATTCTGCATTTCTGAGGAGCTCCCGGGTGACACTGACATTGCTGGCCCGTGGACCACATGTGGGGTGGTAAGGGTCCACACCATGATGGGTATCCTTGGCCTCCTGGAAACCAAGCTCCTTGAAGATATATGTGTATTGTTCATCTCCGTGTTGTCTTCATCAGGACCTTCTTATCCTTATCTAGGCTTGATTAGCTGAAGCCATGGAAATCCAGCCAAGCTTTTTCAGGAGAGAAGTGGGCACAGTCTAAGGGTGCAAAGCTCTTGGAATGCAAAGAGAGTAAATACAACATGCCAGGCCTTGTGGGGCCCAGAGTGCCATCAAGCTTTGGCCTCTCATCTTCCCTCTGCTATGCAGGTTCTAGGCTCCGCTCCATTCTGCTCACTTGTTTTCCAACATGGCCACCCACAAAATCCACTGGCTCTTTCAATCTCAGGGCTCACAATAACCACATGCACTCTGTTTCTTATTTTAAGTGTTTGAAGGGGGAATCTGGCAGTCAGTAGATTACAGGGGCTATGGGTATTGAGCAGGTCAAGGAGGTTGGGTGTGATGGACAAATTGTCTGATGTATCTTAGATCACATGCAAGGTCAGATATTCACTAAGAGCTCCTTCCTGGAGGTCCAGGTTGCTTCCTTTGGGAGGAAGTCAGAAAGAAATATATAATTCATATATTTTACCAAGCACCTATCAGCTGCCAGGCAATGTGCCCAGTGATAGGAATACAGAGGTAGAAGATATAGCCACTACTTTTTAAATAATTTAAGTTCTAATGGCAAAGGAGTTCTGTGATCAAGGCAACCTCTCAGCAGAGCAAAGCCCTCCTCCTGAGAACAATTAGGAAAACTGAAAATAAAGTCTATCAGCACTTCTGCTTTCTGATTCACATATCTACATTTCATAAATATATTTGTATTATATAATTACATATATATGTATATATACATATATTACATGTGTATATACACATATATATTACATATGTATATATACACATATATATTACATATGTATATATACATATATATTACATATGTATATATATACATATATAACATATATAATTATATATATGTGCATATATATCCAACTATCTTAATTGTTATCTGAAGGACTAGATAGGTAGTTAGATCACAGAGAAAAGCAGCAAAGTGAGCCCAATTGCTGGAGACGTTTAACTCTAAGAAACTCACTCATACTTAAGCAGTGCTAGTTGAGAGAAGCTATGGAGAAAGTGACAACCAGTATGTTTAGGAGGTGAGTTAGTTTTTGGCAGTTCTAACAGTGAGATAAAAATTGGGAGGTTGTGGTAAATACCCCAGGATTTTTGCTGGGGAACCCTGAAGGACCGAATGAACCCTGAGTAAGGGCAAACCAGAAATAGAGCGGATTCTATAAAAACTGAAAGCCTCTCAACAGTTCAAACCCTGATTGGATTAAAGTGACCATCCCCCTACTCTAACTTCCTATCAGGGAACCAAAATTTTATCTAGAGTCACCAAGATTTTCTATATACAATGTCTGGCATTCAATTAGAAAAAAGTTATCAGGCATTCCAACAGACAAGATCTAAAGCAAAAACAGATAACAGAAAGGAGTCTATGGGAAGTGCAAATATGAAAGTTTATCAGGCATAGACATTAAAATAATATGATTGATATGGTCGCAGAATTAGATGACAACCTAGAGAAATTCATTAGAGAACTGAGATATCTACAAAAGAATTAAACAAATAATATAGAACTGAATAAAAAGAATAAATGCAATTAAGAACTTAATAGAAGGGTTGTACAGAAGGTTAAACACAGATGAAGAGAAAATTAATGATTTGGAAGATATGTCAATAGGAAATATCCAGTGCAAGGCCCAGAGAGACAAAAGGAAGGAAAATTCAGAATTGAGATCATGACAATAATAATACAAAAGTTTGTGGGAGAGGCAGTAAATCGAATTTAAGTTCTAGGCCATCTTTGCCGTATTTCTTGTCTCTTTTGTTGATTCTATCTCCATTCAATTCTGGTCCTAGATTCTCTTGTCTAGAGCTCTTCGTTGTGGTAACCCCTGAGCACATGTAGCTGGGTAAATTAATTAAACTTAAATAAAAGTAAAAATTCAGTTATTTGGTAAGACTGGCTGCATTTAAAGTATTCAGTAGCCACATGTGTCCAGTGGCTGCTGTATTGGACAGTGCAGATATAGAACATTTCAATAACTTCAGAAGGTTCTATTGAACAATAATCTCATTCCGTGATATTTTACATTTTTCATCAGTCTGTTTTCTAGATCTTTACCTATGATGATGTTACCCCTGTACATGGAAACTTTCCGTGGGCCCAGACTCCTTTAATGTGATGTTCAAAGTTTCACACAGTGTAACTCAATTCTGTTTCCCTGCCTGTTGAAAGCAGGCAAAATGAATTCAGTGATCTACCATTACCTGAAAGAAGACAAAATGTTCTCACAATTAGATGCCTGTGGCTCTGTGGGTCTGTCTTGCATGGAGAATGGTGCTCAGAGCACTAACCTTGAGTCATCTGATGACTTCAGGTTCCTCTATCCAGGAATACTGGGACAAGTACACTACATTTTAGAAAGATTCCCACTAAAATGGTAAAATAAATCATGTATTAATTATTGGGTTTGCCACTGGGAACTTCTTATTTTTCAAGTCTATGGGGCAAGTGGGGCTTTTACTGAACTGCATCCTGAGCTTGCCATTTACTGGCTTTTAAACATGGATGACTTAACTTCAACCTCTCCTGTGCCCCTTGTTTCCCAACTGTTAGGTAAAGTCCTTGCACCCCTCCCTAACATGTGAGTTTTGACAACTAAATGTGGTTTTGCAAATGTAGAAATTGCTTTGTAAATGTAAGTGCCATGTGTACCATGTGGCATTATTTTTTCATACTGTGCTGTTTCTTTTTTGTCTTTCAGTCATTTCCCTCAAAGCTTCTGAAGAGTCATCCTTTGAGAAAACAAAAGAGACTTGGGCATTTTTTGAAGGTAAAGCTTGTATATTTCTTTTTTTTATTGCTCTATAGTTGCTTTTTCTTTTTCTTTTTTTTTAAATTATACTTTAAGTTCTAGGGTACATGTGCACAACGTGCAGGTTTGTTACATATATATGCATGTGCCACATTGGTGTGCTGCACCCATTAACTCGTCATTTACATTAGGTATATCTCCTAATGCCATCCCTCCCCCTTTCCCCCACCCCACGATAAGATGCAGCCTCACTTTTAGACAATAGGAAGGAAACAGAATATAAAGAAAGGACCCTAACTTCTTAGTTTTTAAGTTGTTTTCTTGGTCTAAACTTACTCAAAGTGAGATGGAAATCCCTGACAGTATCAGCCCACAGTTTTGAAAGAGTGGAAGTTAAAGCACCAGTCCACATAATTTTTGTTTGTTTTGTTTTGCTCCAGAATTCCTACTCCCAGGTGATATTAGGGACGAATCTTCAAGTGATATAAAAATGATAAGTACCTCTACTGTGACTACATTTTATTTCAGGTTGCTTAAGGAGTTTGGGGTTCTAGAAACAGTTTGCAATCCTTAACCAAGTAATTTTCAACCCATGCTAGAATCACTCATGGAATGTTAAGAACATGAATGCCTGGACCACATCTCTAGAGATTCTGATTTAATTGGAAGTTGTTAAAAGCTCCCCAGATGATTGCAGCATGCAGCCAGGCTGAGAACCATGGCCTTGGAACAGTGGTTCCCAAAGTGTGATTGCAGACCGGCAGCATATGCATCACCTGGGAGCTTGTTCCAAATGCACATGGCTGTGCCCTGCCCTAGCTTATAGAATCAGAAATTCTAGGGATGGTGCCCAAGAAATCCGGGGTTTAACAAGACATCCAGGCAATTCTGATGCACATTCAGGTTTGGGCCTTAGGGCAGGGGTTCTCAACAGTGGGTGACTTTTGCTACTCCAGGGTACAGTTGCCAATGTCTGCATGTATCTTTGGTTGTCACAGCTTTTGGGGGTACTCCTGGCATCTAGTGGCAGGGGCCAAGGATGATGCCAATCCTACAATACACAGGATAGTCCCCATGACAAAGAATTTTGGCTCCAAGTATCCAGAGTGCTGAGGTTGGAAAACCCTGTCTTGGAGTAAGGAAAGTTCGGAGAAATTATTATCATAAAGTGGGTGAGGATTATGATCATAAGCAATTAAAGAATGCACTTTGTGAGTTCTCTGGCAGAGCTTTGGATCAGTGAAAGGCTGATTAATGTTCAAAGGTGGTCAGGAACTTTGTAAAGATTATGTCTGGTGATGGTACAACATTTATTGATGAGGAATGATCTAGCCAAAAGTCTCTAAGGAGAGGCACATGTCTTGAGGCCTTACTGTCACCCTTTGTTAACCCATTGTATGATCTGGCAGAAGGAGGGCCATCCTTAGGGAGCAAGTACTTGCTTTCAAGCTCACCCCTTCCAATGCCTAGTTATAAAGCAGTAGACTGAAACACATTCTGTCTTAGGAAAATGTAACTTTTATTGTGAACATCGTTTGCAGACCATAAGGTGTCACCCACATAGGCCTCTAGGATTAATTGTTTTGTTTTGTAGTCATAAATATTTTGTTTATGAGATTGCACTCATGAGAATCCAACAGTGATTCTTTGTATTTCCTGATGTTTCTCTGCATTTTTGTAGTTGCCTTTTTCTTTATTTGATGACTGCCTCCTAGTAAAATAATCCCCATTTCTCCCACTCAGCCTCTCATTAAGAGAATGCCTACTCATTGGCATTGGCAAAGAAATGAAAATGACTTTACTTCTCATAGAGTGAAGCAGTAGTAAGGGCAAGGTTTACCTTTCTCATTACTATTTAGTAAAATTGAGGCAACCCCATTGATGTTTGCCCCATGTCTCTGGAGCTGCCCTGTGACCAGGCACTGTGATGGGTTGGGATATGGAGAGGGCCTGGCTGTGGCAAGGGTAGATCACTAGGGATGTGACAGCTGGAGCCTTATGTATCATCAGATGCATCAGAATCTTCCAGGGAGACTTCAGGCTCCAGCCCCTGAGGTTCTGGTTATAACATTAGGAAGGGATCAGAGAACTTTCAGGGCCACAGGTGATTCCTATGCAAGTGGTCTGAGGACCATACTTTGAAAATGCCATGGTGCAAAAACAAGACCATATATTTGGAAAGATTGTGGCATTTAGACCCAACATACCCCACAGCATAATCAGCATTTCTGAAACCCTTTGTGCAATTAACAGTATCTCATAATTCATGTGCAGCTATAGAATGTCAGGGTTACTCCCGACCTAACTCTCTACATGAAATCTGTAGCCCAGTATGTGCTCTCTTCTCAACAGAGAGAATCAGGCCTCATCCAAAAGCAGAACTGGCATTCTCGCTATGTGTAGTGCCTGCCTCAGAGCAGCTGTTTACAGACCAATCTTTTCCTATGATTTCGGCAGCAGCAGCGTCTCCGTGCTTTGCTTTTTTAACCCAGCCGTAGCTTTGGCGAGGTTAGAGGTACAGTTGAAACTCCCTGGCGCATGATCCCAGGCCTTTTGCCCTTTTGTTCCTGGACGAGAGAGCTACAGTAGGGGTTGTGGATGGATATCCATCCTCCTGGGGCTTAGTTCATCCTGGCTGTGAGCCCACTGCACAAAAGAGGCATTGATTGTCAGGCCTCTTTGTGAGATGCTGGAGTGAGTTAAAATCCTTTGGGGCTATCACTCAGGTATTTCACCCTGAGCAAGATGGTATTACAGGCTGGATTAAAAAATAGAAATACACAGCCTTATGTCTCAAACTGCTATCTCCTGACTTTTCCATTTGCCCTGGAAATGTACAAGACTGAAGCTTACTTTCTTGATTCAGAAAGCAGGGGAGAGCGGGGTTCCTGGACTCTGCTGAGGGGCACTGGGGTCACTCTTTTTCAAAGGAGCACTGAATATACCCCTGCTGGGATCAGGGTTGCTGGGCAACAGGTGCCATCTGCCTGGCCCTGGCTTGGTGGGGCTGTTTGGGAGGGCGGGAGCTGGCATGCTGACATTATGCACCCCAGTCTTGGCCTGTCTCTGCATGGGCAGCTGCTCCAGCCTGCCAGCCCTGCCATCTGCTTCAGGGAGGCCTGGGCATTTTCTACATGGCAGCTTGCAGTTGAGTCTAAAAATGGCAGTGATGCCTTTGGAAGTTCAATGGCAAAAGACAAAACTGTAAATGATTTAAGAGAAAGGGAATGTAACATGATTTTTAGAATTATTGTGGGTGTGCAGCTATATGTGTTTTTTTTTCTTTTCCTTTTGTTTTTGATGGAGTTTTGCTCTTGTTGTCCAGGATGGAGTGCAATGGCATGATTTTGGCTCATTGCAACCTCCGCCTCCTGGGTTCAAGCAGTTCTCCTGCCTCAGCCTCCCAAGTAGCTGGGATTACAGGCATGTGCCACCACACCTGGCTAATTTTTGTATTTTTAGTACAAAAATTTGTACTAATTT